>NC_000003.12:164008604-164160119 GCF_000001405.40 Homo sapiens
GAGTATGTGACAGGAATGTTGAGCTTGGTAGGATTAAGATAACACATAAAAAAGAACCTTTAAAATTTTTGATATAGAGGGACATCTAGACAGAGATAATATAGATAAAATGCCTTTTAAAAACAGACTTTGGAATGTGATACATATATATGTGTGTGTGTATAAATATGTATGTATGTATACACACACAGACACACACACAAGAGAATATACTCTCAGTTCAGTCAGAAACTCAAAACCTTAAATATTTTAATTTTTACTTGGACTTTGTTTTAATATAAGAAATGTTTCTCAAACATGTATATCAGTTAGTTACTTTTACATAACAAGCTCCACTAAAACTCACAAGCATACAAGTATTTATTTAGCTCATATTTATTTTTAATGGATGATCTGGGTGAGGCTTACCTGCTGCAGCTTCTCTCTGCACCAAGTACCTTTCTTCTCCCACCTGGAACCAAGGCTTAGTCCAAACATATCACTTTCATGGAAGGGGTAGGAACACAAGACACCGGGGGAAATGTACAAGGCCTCTTAAAGCCCAGACTTCCAACTGGCACACGCTTACTTCAGCCGGATTCTATTGACTAAACAAGTCACATGATAGCATCCAAAGCCAAGGGTTAGGAAAATATACCCTATTCCTTAATGGAAGAAACTGAGAAGCCACCCAGAAAAGAATAAAAAATCATGAAGGGGGCCAGGCACCGTAGCTCACGTCTGTAATCCCAGCACTTTGGAAGGCCGAGGCAGGCAAATCGCAAGGTCAGGAGATGGAGACCATCCTGGCTAACACAGTGAAACCCCGTCTCTACTAAAAATACAAAAAAATTAGCGGGGCGTGGTGGCGGGTGCCTGTTGTCCTAGCTACTTGGGAGGCTGAGGCAGGAGAATGGCGTAAACCCGGGAGGCAGAGCTTGCAGTGAGCCGAGATCGCGCCACTGCACTCTAGCCTGGGTGACAGAGCCAAGACTCCGTCTCAACAAAAAAAAAAAAGAAAAAAAAAAAAAAAAGAAAATTCATGAGGGTGTAAAGAAGTGGGTTGTAATGTGATTAACCACAGTAAGAGTTGTGCTTGGTCCTGTGAGAGATAAGAAATGTAAGACATGATTTAGTATGTCCAAAGAGTTTGCAGTCTACTTCAGTCAATAACAAATTGCTTTTGAAAAAAAATAATTAATCATTGTTGCAAAGATGTGACTTTTGTTTTGGTTACTCATCCTGCTTTTGGGGAATTTTCTATAATAATGTATAATGTGGGAGGTAGAATAGGCCTTCCAGTATAGAAGCTAAAATTGCTAGACATTCTTTCCCAGCTCCTTAGAACCTAAGACCTTTTACAACCCCATCACTGGGTATATAACCAAAGGATTATAATCATTCCACTATAAAGACACGTGCACTTGTATGTATATCACAGCACTATTTACAATAGCAAAGACTTGGAACCAACCCAAATGCCCATCAGTGATAGACTGGATAAAGAAATTGTGGCACATATACACCATGGAATACTATGCAGCCATAAAAAAAGAATGAGTTCATGTCCTTTCCAGGGACAAGGATGAAGCTGGAAAACATCATCCTTAGCAAACTAATACAGGAACAGAAAGCCAAAGGCCACATGTTCTCACTCATAAGTGGGAATTGAACAATGAGAACACACAGAAAAAGGCAGGAGAACATTACACACTGGGGCCTGTCGGCAGGTAGGGGACAAGGGGAGGGAGAACATTAGGACAAATACCTAATGCATGCAGGACTTAAAACCTAGATGACGGGTTGATAGGTGCAGTAAATCACCATGGCACATGTACATCTATGTAACAAACCTGCATGTTATGGACATGTATCCCAGAATTTCAAGTAAAGAAAAAAAAAAAGAAAAGAAAGCAGAAGCTAGAAGAAACAAGTCTAAACCTGAAGATACCCAACAGGGCTTGTGCAGCAGAATTCCATAACCCATTTTCATTGAATCCTGCTCTTTCCCTAGGAACTCAGAAATAATTGAGATCACATTTCCCCCACCCAGGAACTTGCCATGCAAACTGTGGTCTGTGACTTTATTATAACCACCAAATTAACTATTTGGTTAACAATTGATTAAATATGGGTGTTATTTGTAAACTCTTAGAATAATAGAACTAGATACTATTCTTGGCATTGGTGAAATATAGCACCCTTGATATTTGTAATACCTAAAGTATGTTTGTTACAACTGAATTGTAGAACAATCTCCAAGAAAATTAAATATATATATATTTATTTAATATATATGTGTATATATCTACATATATGTATTTATGTGTATATATACACATATATATTATATATAATATATGTGTATACACATGTAGATATATACATATGTGTGTGTGTGTATGTGTGTGTGTGTATATATATATATACACACACATATATATATACACACACACACATATATATATACCTGTATATATATATATATATATATACCTGAGTGTGTATATATATATATACAACTGAGGTGTATATATATATATACCTCAGTTCAACCAATAATATGAGGTCGAGGTGGGAAGGAATACCAAGAAGGTTTTAAATTTGGAGTGGTGCTTGAACAACTGGTAAAGGGGAAATGTTTCAAGGGGCACCTGTAGCAGTGTCATCAACCAAAGGTTCCTGGCAAGGAGGTGCTGGTAATAGAGGCTGTTGACAGTGAGTGTCAGTGAGAGATGTCTTTCCTGGATGGAAGTTGGCTGCAACTCTTTCCATCCCTTTGTTTTAATATATATATATCTACATATATGTATTTATGTGTATATATACACATATATATTATATATATTATATATGTAGATATATACACACATGTATGTGTATATATGTGTATACACATGTAGATATATACATATGTGTGTGTTTGTATATATGTGTGTGTGTGTATATATATATACACACACATATATACATATACCTGTATATATATATATATATATATATACCTGAGTTGTATATATATATATATACAACTGAGGTGTATATATATATGTACCTGAGTTCAACCAATAATATGAGGTCGAGGTGGGAAGGGATACCAAGAAGGTTTTAAATTTGGAGTGGTGCTTGAACAACTGGTAAAGGGGAAATGTTTCAAGGGGCACCTGTAGCAGTGTCATCAACCAAAGGTTCCTGGCAAGGAGGTGCTGGTAATAGAGGCTGTTGACAGTGAGTGTCAGTGAGAGATGTCTTTCCTGGATGGAAGTTGGCTGCAACTCTTTCCATCCCTTTGTTTTAAATCCCTTTGTTTTATCCCCTTACCTTATCCTGATATGCCAGTCTTCTTAGGTATATTCTTATAACAAATTTCCTTTTTTTGGTCAAATAAGACAGGGTTGCAGTGTGCTACATAAAGTCACAAACCCTGACTGATACTTTCAGTGTTCAAATTGAGAGATAAATGTTATAGCAGTTCAGAAAGGAAAGAACAGTATGAGCAGAGTCATCACAAAACCTAAGGAAAATACGGGATTTAACTGATTCTTACAAGATGTCTATGGGTAAAGAAAGGAAGAAGTGTGCGTTAAATATCCTAAAAGAAGAAAAGGACATAGTAATTGAATTTATACAATTAGCAGTAGGCCAGTGTAATGGCAACTTGAAAGAGATGTTTAAACTGGCCAACTCTAGTTCTCCTTCCCTACTCTGCCACACTTTTTAATGTGATTTCTCCTCTTACCATCTTATTTTAAGCATTTAATTCCAAAGGCATAGTGACTTGGAGTTTATGACTTTCATGGAAAATATCAGATTATTACTTAGGTGACCTCTACTAACTTAGATTTCGTTTAGCACTCTCATTTTTGGTTTCTATGACATGCACCCTCTGGAGTTTTCTCCTATCTTTCTGGCTGCCTCTGTTCCATCTCCTTTTCTGACTCTCTTTCTTCCTCTAACCGACAAAGCCTGGGGTTTTTCATGGCTCTTTCACAGACATATTTTTGTTCTCATTGTACACATTCTCCCAGGGTAAAATTATCATTATTTTCAATTACCATTCATGTGTTGCTGTTTTCCTGATGTATATTTACATCCCTGATCACTCTCATGTTCCAGACATATATAATTAACTTTCTGGGGAGAACTCTCAAATTGAATGCCCAAGAGGCAGCTCCAATTCAACCAGTTCAAACAGAACTTTTTTCTCTCCTTTTTGCCTTGCTAAATGGCTTTGCCAGTGCAGGTATCCTTGACTTTTTCTTCTTTTTTTATCTAGTCCCCATGACCACCTCCACTCCTACACTGTACTGAATTAATTTTAGGGCTTATTGACTCTTCTTTGATATTTCCAAGCCTGTCTTTTTGTTCCATCTCATGCCATCACTTTGTTCATTCCAACATTATATCTCACTTCACTTATGGTAAGAGTCTCAGAGCTGGCACTCTTCCTTCAAGTATAGTTTGTCTTCACTTTTCTTGAAAATAGAGGCACACTATCTTTTAAAAGATTATTTAAATATGACCATTACATTTTAAGAATGTGGTTATTGGTCTTGTAATTGTTCTCAAGACAAATATTAATTTGTTGGCATAACATACCTCTCTAGATTCTGCTTTTCTCTCTCCCATCTCAATCTCAGAAACAGTCTATGCTCATCATGAAATGTATCTAAATGTATTTATCTAAATGGGACATTTTCCTCTCATCTCTCTACTTCTTAACAGTTACTTCTTCTGAACACCCACTCCTGCCTCCACAAAATACACCACAACCTGAAAAATATCTAATCACTATGCAGAAATTAGCTCAGGTCTCACCTATGCTCCAAAGCTTTATGTAACTTTTTGAGCCTGAGAAGGGCTGTTTCTAGGAGATTTTATAGCACTCTGTATTTACTTACATTGAGGCAGTAGAGGTACTGCACAAAAATTTCATGATTTATTTCTGTATCAAACACTAGACAGCAAACTTTCTAAGTTCAGTTTTATACTCTTTTTTCTCATTTGCATATAGTAGATGATTAACAAATATGTGATTATTTGAACTTGCATAGGGACTATGAATCATGGAGAGTAAGCTTGAAGACAAATATGGATATTGATTTTCAAAGAAGTAGAATCAAAAAGAATTAGTTATCAGTTTTGATAATCCAAGGATAAGGTACAAAGCATTTAAAATTTTTAGGAACTCTATAAACCTGGCACCAAATTAATGACTATTCTTAATTATTGAAGAGTACTCATAGCCTTGTATCTTTGGCCATATTGTTATATTAGCATCACTCTATACCTACTCTTAAGATTATTTTATTTATTGCTTTGATTTCTTACCTGCTAAACACTTTATTGATTACTAAGTAAACTCCTAGATACACTGATGCTGAATACTTTATTCAATATCAAACACTTCATACTTAATTAATCTGTCTCAAAATAATATGAAATATAATTTGAAGTCTATACACAAACCAAAAAATATAAAAAAGAGGTAGTTATTTTTATTAAAATAGGAAGTAAACTAATAAACATCAAAGATATTATGATATTGTTACTGTTATATGTTTAAGTGAATTTCGTTTTCTTAACTGTTAACTTCTTATTGTGTTTTAAAATGAATGAATGTGTGATGAGTGGTTACATACTAAATGTTTCCAAGAAATTTTGCAAGATATTTTTGTAAAGTGACATATACAAAGATGAAATTAAACCTTGTGAATATGTCATTCTATAAGAAATTTCTTACCTATTTTTTTATTCTGTGCATAAGAATCTTTAAGATTCAGAAAGAAAACACACATTTTAAATCTAGTCCTTAAATAATTCTTTTATTTAGTACTTTATAAAGACATGGAAAATTTTACTTAGAAACAAACAAAAATACCATCAATCTAGAATGAGAAAAATTAAGATTTAATTCTATAATTAACTTTAGTGTGACTTCACACACAAGAAACCTAAATTGATATCCAATGAAGTTCTTATATATATTCCTAATTCTTTTTTCCGAAGGAATAAAATATAATATCTACAGCTTTGGTTAGACTATGATATCTGTTTTACATTTTTTTTCTGCTTTACTTGACTTTATTCCATTTTACAATTTTATAGTGTTCTTGATTCTCTTTATCTGTTCTGACATTGATTATTTTCTTTGTATTCAGACATTTATTAATAGTTACTAAAAACTAAACAATTAATATTTTTAGTTTACATATGCTAATGTAAAATTATTCAATCCTTTTTAAATGATTGTCAAAAGAAACGATTCCTCCCAGTTATCTCTATGGCTGGGTCCTCAAAATAATATTGTTATTGAGCCAAGCATATATATTTGTTTTTTATTTCCCCTATTATGCTATTAAAATAACCATAGACGTGTCCAAAAGCAATAAAACAAAACTATGATTAGAACATAGGGTTTCATCGCAGATGAGAATTTAATGCATTCCTGAAGAAGGAAAAACAGTGGAAACATTGTGAAAGTAAACATGTAAAGTTAGACAAAATTCCCAAGATGTGTGGGAGAGTTACAGCTGAGGAGATGGCTGATCTGATAGATGTAATAATTTTTTCTTTTTTTTTTTCTTTTTTCTTGAGATGGAGTCTCTCTCTGTTGCTCAGGCTAAAGGTCAGTGGTGTGATCATGACCCACTGCAACCTCTGCCTCCTGGGTTCAAGCGATTCTCCTGCCTCAGCCTCCCAAGTAGCTGGGATTACAGGCAGGTGTCACCATGCCCAGCTAATTTTTGTATTTTTAGTAGAGTTGGGGTTTCACCATGTTGTCCAGGCAGGTCTTGAACTCCTGACCTTAAGTGATCCACCTGCCTTGGCCTCCCAATGTGCTGGGATTACAGGCATGAGCCACCATGTCCAGCGTTAGATGTAATCTTGTAGAGGCTCCAGGATCAAGGTCTGCATAACTCAAATCCTTGACTGAAGAGAGAAGGCTTAACTCCAGGGAGAGTGAATTTGGGTTGCCAGGGCAGGGGTGTGGTTGGTAGAAGTTGGTGAGAGAAAAAGGGTTTCTGGTACTAGAAAATAGGGTTCCTTTTCAATTTCACAGTTGGGGCCTCTTAGTCTAGTAGCCACCTTACCTCTTAACTATACTAAACCAAATCTTCCTAGTCAACCCACCTCAACTATGTACATAGAATTTACATGCAGATTTCCTTCTCAGGGGAGAAAATTATTTACAAAACACCAGCATCCATAGTAGGTGGATAAACCTTCAAGAGCTACTGAAGCAAGTCCATGCAGTCCCTTAATATATTAATAAAACATCAAAGGTCACTAGATACAGGAGAAATAAACAAAATAAGCTAAGTAAAAAACCAAGATAAATTTTAAAGATAATGCTTAGGGATATATAGTTAATTCAAGGCAGAAAAAAGTAAAAAATAAAAAATAGAAGATCTAGGTAATTTCTAGAGTAAAACCAGCATAAATGGTACCTGGATAAACCAATAATATAATTATATAAAAGAAAAAAATCAACCAGAAAACAAAAAGAATTCTTAAAACTTCTTTGTTTAAAGAAATCTGATTTCTTAAATATTCGAGAATGCAATTTATTGAGCACTGTAAGATAAATATTAAGAAAAATCTGTAAATTAAGGCACAATTATTTGAAAAATAGATAAATTTAGAGAAAAAACCTTAAGACATAGAAGATCCAACCAGCCTAGAAATTCGTACAGAGAACTATTAGAATAAATTATTGGAAAATAGTATACTAAAGGGAGAGTCACATTAAACTACTCTAGATCACCTTTTCTTGTATTCTGGAAATTATCTAAACACAGAAGTTTTGCTTTCCTTTTTTTATCTCCCTAATGGTCTCTTAAGGCAAACCCTAAATTATCTCTTTTTTCTCTGAATATTGTTTATTCTCCTTTTTGCTGTTGTTCTTTTACTTTTTTCTCAAAAAGCTGGTGATCTTTGATGATCTCAATATTTTATGACAAAGAACTGCACTATTTCCCATGATTGTGCTTTACAGTTTCCTTGGCTATTATGGACATTGTCTTTTGCCATTGTCTTTTGTGGGCAGTGTGTTTCTCAGTCATTTACTCCTACAAGGGCAGCAACTACCTGGAAGATCCAGGTACTTGGTTGAGGCATTTAAAAAAACACAGAATGTGCATTAGGTACCTAGGAGGTAAGAAACTTAAAAGGCTGAGTGTCCCTTTTTAAGTATTAACTAAAAGATGTCCTTAGGGAAATAAAATAATGTTATTAATACAAAATATACAAATTTAGAGACAATTGAATTGCTTTCTATTGACTCTGTTGTTTCATTGAGATATAATTTAGAATAACTTTTATGATGGGTTAAAATCTCAGTTTTTATGATAGGATTTTCTATGGTGACAAGCAACAGGAAATGCCACATATTCTGGCAGATATAATTCTGATGCAAAGTTATTGTTAAAACCTGTTCATGTATTGAGCAACATTTATAAAGCAATTATTAGATTACAAGGACTTTCCTATATGCTTGGATTGTATTGGTAAAGAAAATATCTCCATAATGGGAATATAGAAGAAAATAAAAAAAAATTGACAGAGGTGATAACAGGGAGGCATAAAATTGACAAAATTTGTCTTTTAGGAACTGACACATTTTGTTATGTACTGTGCATATAGAAAATAAAGTCTAAAAATTGCCTAAGGCCTAAAAGTCCCTTGTTTTTAATTCTGCATTTCATTTTTTTAAGTTTCTAAAAACAGGTTTATATCTCTATTTACACGTTCAAAATTCCTTTAATATAACTCCACAAGGATGTTCTGTTGCTATTTTATCTTTTGCCCCATGCTTGGAAAGTGTCTTTCCAAGCACCTTTACCATTGTCGTGTTTCACAGTTATACTCAGAGATCTACATCAATAGTTCTCTAATTTCCCAACCCAGCATAGACTCAGAATCATAGAATGACTGGCATAAAGTCAGGGAAATAAAGACCTGACGTTTAAATATTCACATGCCACCAATACTATATTCTCATTTCGTTAATGAAAATCTAGCCAATTTTTTTTCCTTACATTATACAAAGTATAAGGATAATTGGACAGACAGCCGAGAAAGGAATGAGGCCAATAGACCCAAGCTTAGGCAAGCTGATTTATTGTCAGTCCTGCCAGGCTACCTCTTGACAAAAGCAGAGGAGGCAGCCCCGCTTACAGGCTATAGCAAGGTTTTATAAGGTGTGGAACTGAGTCCCGGTGAAGGAAAAAGAAAAGGGCGGGGCGGTGGTCCTTTGTGCCAGGTGTCTGACCGCTTCCTGGGGATGTTTTTCTTGCCAGCTCTGTGGTGCAAGGGAGATGTCTTAACTGCATCCTGGGACAGCTGGTTGACATCCTGGGTCAAACAGTTACAAGCAGGTTTGGGGTAGGGGTTTTACTTTTTAGCATTTGGGTTTTAGGTCTATGGGAGGGGGAACAGTCCAGTCGGGTGGACCCTAACATTCCAGCCTTTTAACAGATGATAGAGAAGGGGCATTGATTTCATCAGACTGCTTCAAGCTGACAGGGGGCGGTGGCTAGGGCAAAGGCTGGAAGGTGGGGGTTGGCTTTGGTTTTGAAATTGTTGATACTCCCAGAGTAACATCATGTCCTGTATGGTTCCGTGGGCAAAGGCTCAGATATGATTCTGTAAAAACTGGGTGAAGAGGCGTATTAAGCAAGGCCCAAAGATTAGAAGAAAAAGGATTATAGCGGGTCCAAGGAGAGGGAGTAGCCAGGGGGCCCAGGTGCTGAGAGACCAAGAGGGCCAAGAGGGCCAGGTAGAGGAGTTGCTTTCCCTAATCTTTTGGGCTCGATCTTTGAGTTTTTTTTTTTTTTTGCATCTTGAACTAAGCCTGACTGATTAAATAAAAGCAGCATTCTTCGTCTAGAAAAATGCAGAGTCCTCCTTTGTCGGCAGTCAGTAGGTCGAGACCTCGGCGATTTTTTAAGACGACTGCTACTTGGGAGTCTAGCTGGGCTTGTAAGGTGGATATGGAAGTTGCAAGGTTGTTTATCCATCTGAAAGGTCTTTTGATAAGGTTTTATGGTACCAAGAGGAAGTTGCGATTCCTGCTACTCCTGTGCCTGCGGCCGCTGTGATACCTAGGCTTACCAGTAGTGGGATAAGCTGTATGGCTCTGTGCCTGCGGTGTGGGATTTGAGTATTTAGGGTTTGGAGGAGCAGGTTTTCTCCTGGAGCTATGTCTATTTTAGGGGTGAGGAAAACCAGTGTACAGGTGCCTGTGCGGTTGGTGGGTAGACAGAAGTAGGTGGAGGTGCCACATAGAAAGAATACACCTTGGCTAGGGAGGCAGAATTGGAAATGTATGGCAAAAAGGGGGTGTAAAATGTTGTTCTCCTAGCACCAGGCATGGAGGGAGGAGGCTAGAGCCGCTCTGGTTAGGGGTTGAAGGAGGAGTGCTGAGGTGAACTGGCTAGCTCCTACTGTTGATTTTTCGGAGTGTAGAAAGAAGCGTTTTGTGTCAATAAGTAGTTTGTTTGAGGGTGTGTTAGGCAGTGGGATTTCCATGCATTCGGAAGTGGGGATGGCATTTAGTCAAGTGCTCCACCCTGTGATTTGTATTCAGGGCCTGTCTCAGTTATTGCAGAATCCTGATGTTTTTTCCATGACTTGGGTCTGAGGGGGGTTGGAGATTTTGAGAATTTGTGTGGGGTTTGTTGCTGTTACTGTTTGGATGCCTGTTGGGAGAATGAGTGTCAGAGTACAGTTGCATAAGCTAGAAGAGAGGGTGCCTAGGGGGACTCCTGAGGAAAGTTCATGTTTATGCATAGGGATGCTTGTTGGCTGAGTTTTGAGTCTGAGGTAAGTGCTCCTAAGACAATCTTGTGTTCTGAAGTATGTGTAGTAAGATTGAGTTTGTAACTTTTGAGTTCATTTACTCCTCTGAAACTTTGGTAGCAGGGGTGGAGGGTTATACTGGTGAGAACCCAGTCTTTGAGGGGAACTGGGAAGGCATCCTTTGATATGGTTTCTTAGGGGTATACCAGCAGGCCTTGGCCAGGGAGGGGTTAGTTTGATTGAGTATTGTATGTGCCTGTTGAATGGTGTGCTGAAGGTGGAGTGGTAGTGAGAAGGAGGAGGGAAGAGGGAGTAAATAGGCAGAGAGCAAGTGTAAAGGTAAAGAATTCGGCTTCATCTGGAGTGAATTCCTGTAAATCCCCTTGAATATAAGATCGGTGATCCAATCAAGGAATGCCATGAGGGCGGGATGTTCTGGGTAGGACCATGAAATGTTTTCTGTGACGCAGTGAAGGAAGAGGGTGAAACCGCAGGATGGGCAAAGACAGGACATTTAGGAGGGGCAGCTATCTGTTGGTGGCTATTATACCTGCTATAAGGAGGATTATGAGGCAAAAGTTTATGAATATTGAGATTTTTTGTCTGAAATTCCACCTGGGAGGTGAGACCATATATAGTCCTATGACAAAGAGTAGAGTAAGCAGGGTGATTACTGCAAGGGCAGCGTAATAGAAGATTTTCATTAATAAAATTTGGATACTTAAGGTAAGGGCTTATAACCTATCTGTGATGGTTCATGGGGGAAGAGTGGGGTCTTCCGGGATGGGCATTAGGTGGAGTCGAATTGGTCTGAGAAGAGTGCTGGTACATTTGCAGGGAACAGCTGGTCGGTTAGTAGGTGGTGGGCCAGCTGCAGGGGCCTTTTTTAACCTGGAAAGATGGTACCAAGAGTTGTGTCCTGGAAGTTTGGCTGTGGTGGGGGTAGTGAGAAGGATTTGGAAAGGGCCTTACCACTTTGGTTTGAAACTCATTGAAGTAAGGGTTTTTAGGAAGAAATAGTCTCCTGGAAGGAGTGTCTGGTCAGTGGGGCCTTGGTGAAGTTTTGGGAGGGCCTGGTCAGCTTGTTCACGGAGGAGATGATGGATGAGGGAGAGGGTTGGAAGGTACGCTCCTAATTGAGAGTCAGGAGGGGGTCAGTCTGTTTTGTAAGAGGAAAGGGCGTCCATACATTAACTTGAATGGACTGAGGAAGGAGGGAGCCTTTGGACTGGCTCTGATATGTGTCAGTGCTATGGGTAAAAGGGAGGTCTAAGGTTTTTTGACCTCAAGTGTGAGTTTGCTTAACTGGGTTTTGAGAATTCCATTTGCCCTCTCAGCTTTTTCGGATGACTGGAGCCAGTATGGGATATGGAGATGCCACTGAATGCCAAGGGATTGAGAGACTTGTTGGGTAATTTGGGAGATGAAGCTAGGGCCATTACCTGATTGTGTGGAGTGAGGGAGACCAAATCTATGGATGATTTCTGTCATGAGAATTTGAGAGCCTTCTGCAGCTTTTTCTGAAGGGGTAGGAAATACTTCTACCCAACCTGAAAAAGTGTCTACGAGGGTAAGAAGATATTTAGTTTTTTTGACGGGAGGCATGTGGGTGAAGTCTACCTGCCAGTCCTCCCCTGGAAGTGTTCCTCTGAGATGATGTGTAAGGATGAGGAGAAGGCGGAGGGTCCCTTGGGAGGAAGTAACAGAGCATAAATGACAGTTTGAGGTTATGTCCTTTACTGAGGTGAATAGATGGGGGGAGGAGAAATAAGGGTGAAGGAGTAGGTACAGGGGGCGCCCACCGATATGGAAGGATTGGTGAAGAGATGTTAGAATTTCCTTGTTTTGCTCTTGGGGAAGAATGACCTTTTGGTTTTTGATTATCCAGTCCCCTTGAAGGGAGGCTCCTTGCTGTAGTAGCGAAGCCTTTTCAGTGGGAGATTATCTGGGTCAGACTGCTGGGGTGGCAAGGAGGATGGGGGCAGGGATAGAAGAAAGGGAGGCCTGTTTTGCTGCCTCATTGGCCTTTTTATTTCCTCTTGATATTTTATCTGATCCTGTTTGATGTCCTTGACATGTATGACTCCTGCTTCAGTTGGGAGGTGTGAGGCCTGAAAGAGTTGGTAAATAGTGGGGCCTTAAATAATGGGGGTTTCTTTGGTGGAAAGGAATCCTCTCTCTTGCCAGATGGTGGCATGGAAACGAAGAATGTGATAAGCATTCTTGGAGTCTTTGTATATGTTGACCCGTTTTTTTTTGGAGAGAGTTAGGACTCTGGTGAGAGCTAGAAGTTCTGCCTTCTGGGAGGAGGTTCCTGGGGGTCAGACTTTAGCTTCAGTTACATAGTCTAAGGTAACTTCTGCATATTCAGCAATTTGGGGAGAGCCAGGGGCTCCAGAAGAGGAGCCATCTATGAATAGTTGGTCATCTGGGTTAATGAGAGGCTTGGAGGAGATGTTAGGGAAGTGTGGCTGCAGGTGATCCAGAGTGTCAGTGCAAGAATGAGTAGGAGGGGAAGAGGATATGGGGAGTAGGGATTCTGAGGGGGGCACTTTTGGTGAGGCTGAATTTGGGATTTTCAATAAAGACAGCATGGAGTGACAGAATTCGGGAAGGAGGGAGCTTAGCGCCTAGGAGTAGAGGAGATCCTGTAAGTTGTGAGGGCTGTGGACGGTGGTGGTTTGGCTGAATGTTAGTTTTTGCTTTCCAGAGCTAAAATGGACGCTGCTGCTAATGCTCTAAGACAGGTTGGCCACCCTTTGATAGTGTTGTCTAGTTGTTTAGAGAGGTATGCCACAGGGCAAAGGAAGGAAGATTTCCCTTTTGTCACCCTAAGACCCTGAGAGCTATTCCTTGGTTTTCAGTTGTATAGAGAACAAAGGGTTGGGAGATGTCAGCTAAGGACAGGGCAGGTTCAGTGATGAGAGTGGTTTGGAGTTTCCAGAAACTGGGAAATATGTTGTGTGGGGGGCTTAGGGGTTCACAGAGGGGGCCTTTGGCTGCTTCATAGAGGGACTGAGCCAGGAGGACAAAGTTGGGAATCCATATTCTAAAGAAACCTGGCAATCCTAAGAAAGAGAGAATTTCATTTTTTGAAGAAGGCAGAGGCAAGCTGTTTGTTAAGGTCGCTTGTGCTGAGGTCATGGCTTGGGCCCTGGGGGGAGAGTTGGACTCCTAAGTATGTTACTGTTGGGGCGGATATTTGGGCTTTGGAGGGGGAGACCCTATATCCTTTGCTAGCAAGGAAGTTTAGAAGGGTGATGGTGTGAGTTTGGGAGTCCTCTAGGGAGGGGCTGGAAAGAAGGAGATCGTCAATGTATTGGAGGAAGCTGCTGGGGGAAAGGTTTAAGGAGGTGAGGTCCTGGGCTAGAGCTTGTCCAAAGAAGTGAGGGCTGTCTCTGAAGCTTTGAGGGAGGACAGTCCATGTGAGTTATTGTGACGGAAGAGTGTCAGAGTCAGTCCAGGTGAAGGCAAAGAGATCTTAGGAATTAGGGTGTAAGGGAATGGTAAAGAAAGCATCCTTTAGGTCAATTGCTGTATAGTGGGTGGTGTTGGAGGGGATGAGGGAGAGGAGTGTATAGGGGTTAGGGACCACAGGGTGAATAGGGAAGACAGCCTGACTAATGGCTCAGAGGTCCTGAATGTGTCGGTATGAGCCGTCCGATTTTCTAATGGGGAGGATGGGGGTGTTATATGGAGAATGTGTTGGTCTAAGAAGGCCGCATGAGTACAGCTTGTTTATAATAGGTTGGAGGCCCTTTTGGTGGGTTAGGGAGATGGGGTATTGGGGAACATTAGGAAATTTGGAGGGGTCCTTTAACTGGATTTTGATGGGGTTATGATGTGTAGTTATGGAAGGGGTGGTGGTATCTCACACCACCAGGTTAAGAAGAGAAGAGGGAAGCGGGTACTGGGGAGAAGCGTCAGTGGCTGGACTAGCGGAGAGGAGCAGAAGGGACTCTGGTTGAGAGAGGCAGGAAAAAGTGATGGAAGCTTTGAATTTAGCTAAAAGTCCTCGGCCTAGAACGGGGGTGGGACAACAGGCATTATAAGGAAGGAGGGTGAAAAAATAGTATTAAACAAGGAGCAAGTAAGGGACTCAGTGGCACATGGATGTAAGATGAATCCATCAACCCCCACAACAGAGACCTGGGAGGGATGAGTGGGTCCTGAAAATTCAGGCAAAGCTGAGTAGGTGGCCCCGGTATCGACCAAAAATGAGATCAGCTTACCTGCTACTAGCAGAGTTACCCTGGGCTCTGATGCAGTGATGGCAGATGGCGCCGGGGGACCTGGGCTCTGTCAGCCTTCAGCAGCCAGGCCAAGGAGCTGCAGGAGGGTGAGCAATCTTTCACTCTCTGCCTTGCCAGGGCTTTGAAGAGTTGGTCTGTTAGCCTGGTTGTTAACAGGACAATCAGACTTCCAGTGGCTGGTCTGTTGGCAGGCTGGGCAAGGAACTTTTGGTGTCCTTGGGTTAGGACATGCCCATGCCCAGTGACTTTCTTTGCCACACTTAAAACAAGGCCAGGGGGGTTACTGCAATTGGGTTGTTTGTGCCCTTGGGTACTATGGCTAGGCTGACAGATAGCTGCTACCAGAAGCCTGTATTTAGCATGATCTCTTTGGGCCTTGTCTAATTTAATCTGCTCATCCCTGTTATTGAAGACTTTGAAAGCCAGGTTAAGGAGGTCTTGTTGTGGGGTTTGAGGGACATCTTTGGCCTTTTTAAGTTTGCACCCTATGTTAGGAGCAGACTGAGAGATGAAATGGGTATTAAGAACAATAACTCCTTCCCAGCAGGTGGGGTCAACGTGGGTATATTTTTGGAGGGCCTCTGTAAGGTGGGAAAGAAATTCGGCGGGGTTTTCATCGGCTCTTTGGGAGTTTTATTTGAGCTTTTCAAAATTTATGGCCTTATGGACTGCTTTGTTAAGGCCTGCGATGTGGCAAGTAATCATATGGTTATGAGATGCCCGGCCAGGGTCAGTGGGTTGGTACTCCCAGGGGGGTTCCTCCGGGGGAACTGCAGCATCCCCTACAGGCTTAGTAGGGTCTTGTGGATGAAGATAGTCGGCATGTGCCTGTGCTGTGAGCCACACTCTTTCCTTCTCTTCTGGAAGGAGGGTAGAAGACAGGATAATGTAGAGATCATGACAAGTGAGTTCATAAGATTGGGTAAGGTATTTAAATTCTTTGATATAACTGTCGGGATCGGAGGAAAAGGACCCGAGACGTTTTTCAATTTAGGAGAGGTCAGAGAGGGAGAAGGGAGTGTGGACGCGAATGATGCCTTTGGCTCTGGCCACCTCTCAGAGGGGAAGTATGGGGGCTGGTTGTTGGGGATGCTGAGTTCGAGAGTGGGTACCAGGTGGAGATGGGGATGAATCAGAGTCAGAAGCTGGGTCGTTGGAGAAAGGGGGAAAGGAGGGAGGGCAGGAGCAGGAGCGTGGGGCAGAGGGTCATGATGATCAGGCAGAGGATTATTATGTTGACTGGGCAGAGGGAAGTCAGCAGTGTCAAAAGCGAAAGAATCGTCAGAAGGAAGGGGAGCTTCTTCTGACAGAAAGAATCGTCAGAAGGAAGGATGAGTCAGGCTTGGAGCGGATGAAGAGGATTTGGAAAGCACAACAGGACTGACAAAGGGAGGGGCGACTGCAGAGGACAAAAAAGGACTGAACAAAAGGGATTTCAGACCACTTTCCATTGCGATGGCAAAAGTTGTCTAGGTCCCTGAGGATGTTAAAATCGAATGCCATTGGGCGCCATTGTCCAATTTATACTGAGGCCAGGCTGTGTTACAATAAAATATGAGCCTTTTTGGCCGAATTTTGGAACAGAGGCCGAGGGCATTAAGGTTATGGAGGAGACATCCGAGGGGGGACGTCTTTGAGGGAGTGGACTCAGAGGCTCCCATGGTAGAATGAGTGAGGGAGAGGTGGTGATGGGAGACTTGGCCGCAGACTAGAACGAAGGGAGAAGGCGTCCCCTGTCCCACAGTTCAAGTCGGAGAGGTGCAATAATCCCCTGTTCAGGCATCCCTACAAGGGAAATACCGAGGGTCTGGAGGCCGGGAGGAGGAAACCGTTGGCCCAGCGCTGGGTCTTTCCGGAGGGAAAGAGCGGACAAGGGTTCCAGACAGAAGGCAGAAGTCTCCTTTACTCCCCCTGAGGTGGCCCTGGTGTTGGATGTGTCTGCCAGCAATGGAAAGGAGTAGGAAATCCTCTGGGTCTCCTGAAGGTTCTGGAAGGGGGAGTTCAGCCGGGAGAAGAGGGGGAGGGAAGGAGAGAGGGAGAAGGGGAAGTCGAACTCTACCACCTTCCTGGGTTTTGGCACCAAGATGTAAGGGATAATTGGAAGGACAGCCAAGAAAGGAATAAGGCCAATAGGCCCAAGTTCAGGCAAGCTGATTTATTGTCAGTCCTGCCAGGCTACCTCTTGATAAAAGCAGAGGAGGCAGCCCCGCTTACAGGCTATAGTAAGGTTTTATAGGGTGTAGAACTGGCTCAGGGTGTAGGAAAAATAAAAGGGGGCACGGGGCGGGGGTCCTTTGTGCCAGGTGTCTGACTGCTTCCTGGAGATGCTTTTCTTGCCAGTTCTGTGGTACAAGGTAGACGTCTTAACTGCATCCTGGGACAGCTGGCCTCCGGTCAAACAGTTACAGGCAGGTTTGGGGTAGGAGGTTTTACTTTTTGGCCTCTGGGGCTTAGGTCTATGGGAGGGGGAAACAGTCCAGTTGGATGGAACCTAACACAAAGTAATCCACACCTAGTTCAATTTATTTCTTAAGAATGCAAATCCCCTTCCCTGGTCCCTCTTCATATTTTTCACCTGGAAGAGAGTTCCCAAATTATTCCTTGCTAAATATTGTGATTATGTCACTCTCATCTGGCTTTCATTTATTCATCAATAAAATCAAAATAATTCTTCCTCATGTCCAGTGACAATTATGACTCTACTCTGAATTTGATTTTATTTGTAAATATCTTTTCCCTAATATTTCTACTTTTCCTTCTAAAATATTATTCATTTCCTTTGTAACATTAGAAAATAAGTAATGCAACTAAATATATAGTGCTAAAACTGAGACTGACTCAAGTGCCGACAAAATAATTATCTTGCTTAGATGTAGGAGAGAAAAAGTAATATCTTTTCCTCACTCATTGCAAGGGTGGTTATTGGCACTCCTATAACAAAAGAAAGAACAACAAAAGAAAAACATCGCAAATTTATTTAAACAAAGATTTACATGACATAGAAGATTTTTAAAGCAAAAACTCAAAGGCCAGGGAAAACTGGGTTTTTATGCTAAGTCTGAAGAAAGAAGTGGGTAGTTGTGGAGAGAAACACAATTGGACTTAAAAAGTACAACCTAATAGTAATGAAATGGGAGGAAATTAACAAGGCTTGTTTGTTCAGATTCTTCTTTGCCTCCAGGCAGAGGGCAGTACTTTTCGGAATGAGGGTCTTATGACCTACTTTCAGGTGAGGGAGGCAAAATAATTATTTTATAACCATGCTTTAGACTAGAAGAAAGGTGGAAGAAGGTCAGAGTGAATTTTTGCCTCTTCATTTTTCTCAGTAGCCAAAATGCCCTAATTTTAGGTATCAAAAAAGGCATAACATTGAAGAACTAACTATATTTTGAAACAAATCGAGATAAAGCTAAATAAAATTATTTAAACTGATAAGAGTGTAGCATTTTTGTTCTAAAATAATGAAAGATGAGATTAAATATAATCAACATGTTTTTGGAACTTAACAAAAGTGTTTATATGTTTGTAACTGAAGAAAAAAATCATTTTTTGAATAACTAGGAAGTTGATATGACAAAAAATAATAAAATGTAGTATTAAATATGGTAGAGTCAGTCTGTGTGTATCTGTGTGTGTTTATATATTTATCCACACAAATATTTTAAAGAATATATTGTATAGATGTCACATTAAGAAAAAATGTCTTTAATATATTTAATTTGATATAAAGGGAGTTAGATACAATATGCCCAGTCACTTCATTTTTTTGTCATTTTTTTGTCAAAAAAATTTGTCAAATATTCTAGAATGAAAATTTGCTTTTTTGAAATAAATGATATGTTCTTAGATATTTGGCTTATGACACAAATTACAAACTTTGATTCTTTAAACACTGAGTCTCCTTAAATAAACTTGTTGATTTATATTATCTAGTAATGACATTTTAATACACATTATTTTAATTTTATCATTTTCATAATTAACCCCTAACTAGGCAAATGCAAAGCATAATTCAAATTGTCAATTGTAAAGGTCAAATTACTTTATAAATTTTATTTCAAATTCTCTTGCAAAATAAAAATTATAAATACTTGTGTATCTACCAGGGATGGAACTTGAACTATATATAAATTTTAAGATAAAATTATTTACAAAATAATATAGTTTTCTATTACTAAATTGAGAGACATATCAGAAATTTAGATTAACAAGTAAAATATAGCACTCCTTTATTTAAATCAGAATGTTTAAAAAAAACTGTAGATGGGAGAATAAGTTATAAATATAATTAGCTATCTAGGCTGTCTTTATAATTATTTAATCTCATGCAATTTAATTTTCTTTATAATTCTAACATTATTAAAACTTGCCTTGGTCTATTTACATCAATTCTTTAATGTACTTTTTAAATCAGCGTCTACTGAATCTGTTTCATTATGGTGTTGTCAGTCACTGAACCTCTTAGGTTTGATAATAAAAGGCTGTAGGGGCCAAGGGAAAACTTTATCCTTCACCCTCTGAAGTTTCACTGAAAAGTAACCGACAAAAGGTAGATTCATATAATAAAAGGATACAAATTTATTGATGTGTACAAGAGAACCACAGAGTGATTACCCCACCAGACGATAGGGAACAGATGGCTATATACCCTTCTCTTAGGGAAAGAGATATATAAAGTGTGGATGATTTTAGGGGATAGTAAATAATTTTTAGGGGGAGTCAATAGGCTTGAAGAACATACAGTCACCTGGGACAAAGTCTGTTGGGTTGGCAGAACACTGGTTTGTCACTGAAGTCTCTTCAGGTGTGTTGATAGACTTCAGTCTTCCTGCAATGTGAATTCAGTTAGTAAAACACAAGAGAAGGGACCTGAGATACTTGTTTTCTTTTTTGTTATGTCCAGACTTTAGGCAGATAAGGTAACTTCCAAGAACAACTTCATCCTGTTCTTTGGAAGAGGCAGGTTTGAGAGACAGGAAGAGTAGGCTCAGATCAGAGAGATGTTGAGGATTCTTCAGTTTAGCACATCAAAGTGTCATAGTTTGGTGTATTGGTTTCTGAGCTCCAACAAGGCCATGAAGACAGAAACATGATTCATACAATGTTTCTGATTTTTAGATCACAAAGACCAGTGAGAAAGATTTATATGCTTCCAAATGTTTCAAGTTAAAGTTTAAATAGAAATGTATAAAATATGCTATAAACACACACACACACAACTTCAACTAATTATGATTTCAAGGAAGAGAGAAGAATGGTAAAATCAAGACAAATTTCACTGAACACATAATATTAGAGCTTAATTTTAAAAAGAAATCTTTTTGTGGATTAGGGAAGTAGAGAAAGGGTTTCCATGAAGAGAATTAATGTGAATACAAATGCACATGTTTTTGTTTGTTTTCTGATAAGCTTATTTTTTTCTTTCTTTTTTTCTTTTTTATTGTTTGAGGTACAATGCCATGAAAAGGAATGCTGAGCACTCTAGGATTCTACTTTAAGTTGGAAACCATAAATATGTAATGCCTCCAATTTTCTTGGCAATATGAGTTTTTCTAGCAACACAAAGCTGCCAAGTGCAGGATCCTAGAATGGGAAAATTTAAGTTCAATGAACATTATTTTCAGGCATGAACAACATTTGGGCAGGTACAACTTTTTAATAACTTAAAATCAAGACACCAAGCAAATAAACTCCCAAACAGCTCAACTGTTGGACTGTCTTATGAAGATAGCCACAATGGCTAGGATTTAATGATAATAAGATGTATATTTCGAAGCACCTCTCCACGTGAACTGTTCTTATGCAACAGAAAACATAATTATGAAATTTAAAAAAATATGTTTTTTTTCTCTGAAACTGAAATGAATACAATTCTGATATGGTAACAAGAAAAATGTATTTCAGACAACGATAACTCATTATTGATGTTAATATTGAAGTTCTTTTCCACACTATGGAGACGGGTAGCTTCTTTGTGCACTCAGAGAATTTGCTTTTATCTTCCTTTGCTACCTCAGGTCAATAGTCCATCAATATTTTATAGTCTCTCTTCTACCACAGTACTTCCACTTATGGCGTGACAGCATTCTTTAAAGGAGCTCCAGTATCTTCCTTTTTCATCAATTCATATCATTTCCATGCTTCTGTGGAATAATTGGTGAGAGGTTTGAATATTCAAATTTTCATTAACAGCTCTTCATAATTAGCTACATAAGCATGTCCTAATTGGTCTGTTCTTAACCATTGAAAACAACTGTTCTATTCTGAAGCATTGCAAACATAACAATCACCTGTGATATTTTCACTGAAAAATAATGGTATTTTTTCCCCTCCCCTCAAAAGTGTCATCAAGTAATTTGTGGCAGGACCAGATATCTATACTTTATCAAGCACTGTAGGTGATCCTGATTCAGGTAGTATAGGGATAACAATTTGAGAAACATTGTCATAACATATATTGTGCTGAATATTATTTTGGCATTTAGACTGTCTTTTAGCAATATTCATTGTTTAATCTTTCTTTACAGTGCAAAGCTCTGTGGCATGTTAAATCATTCTCTAGCAGCAGTTTGAGGAAGTTTACTGGTAGTAATGAAGACCAACATTTAATTTGTACTTACCTCCTGGCTTATAGATAGAAAAAGAAGTTTTCTTAAAAGTTTAGAAAGGTGTCTCTCTCTCCTTTCTTCCTTCTATCGTTTCAGAGGGGTTCTGCCCCACACTAGGAGGAAGGAATGCCACGTAGAGAAGCCAAGAAGAATCTGAACAAACAAGTCCGGCTAGATCTCCTTCTCAGTCCATTACCATTAGATCATACCCTTTTGTCCAATCACATCTCCACTCAGCTGTCAATTTTTCATCGAATCTAAGCATAAAAATGGATAATTTTCCCTGGGTCTTTGGGTCTTTATTTCTGAAGCCTCCCAAAATCATGTAAAAACTTGATTTAATAAAATTGTTACGCTTTTCTCTTGTTAACCTTTTTGTTGTTGTTGTTATGACAGCATCAGTTGTGAGACTTATGATGGGTATGGAAAGGTATCACAACTTTCAGCACCTACAGTTGAAAGAAATGGTCAAATATTTACATGTCTAATACAGTCTATATACCTTTTCTCCATCCCTAGTCTTCCCAGTGGGGTGTTATGTGCCCCACAAGAGTAGGTAGAAATAACCACAGAACCTTAGACAAGTACTTAATGTTTGCAGTTTGAACTTTCAATTTCAGCCCTACATCAAACGAATTCTATCTGCTTCAGAGCTTCTGTATTTTTTTCTTCCATACCATATCTAAAGTTATATTTTAAAATCTACCTGATCTTGCTTTGTGCATATCTCTTACATTATGTTTCACTAATTTTCAACATAAGCCCTGTGTTGATTAACAAGATAGATCTGCGCTCTTCCATTTGATATTACTCTTTACCATCAAAGATTCTTCCCCAACAGTGTGCCTTTTGCTTGGAATATCCCTTATCCACCCCATTATTTTTCCAGTTTTAGTCACTTTAGGCATACATTAAAACCAATAAAAATTTCATAAACATTTCTCTAATTTCAAACTTGTATTCCAAGCTTCAGAAATTGGAAATCAGGGAACTAAAACTATGAGGCCAGAAAGAGGTGTTCCATGACAATTGATGTGAGTTTCCTCATGATCAGCAAAATGATATATTTAAAATAAACTAATGTGTAGAATAAAGTATTTAAATGTTTTTGCAGAAAAAAGATACACATATTAGCTAGAAATTATTAACTTAATATTCAACTTCCTGAAAATCTAACTTAAAACTGTAACATACTTTCCAAATTTAGACTTAATTTTCTATGGTCCTTGAAATTGAATGAGCAAGAGCTTAGGATCCACATCAAAGAATTGTTTAAAAATCTACCTTGTTTTAAAAGAAAAACTTTACACAAATTTAACAGAGATTAACTGAGTAAATAACAATTCCTGAATCAGGCAGACCCCAGAATCACAGCAGATTCATAAAGACTACAGTGCTACCGCTGGGTTGAAGATTTATGGACAGGAAAAGGAAAGTGAAGTATAGAAAACAGAAGTGAGGGCTGGGTGTGGTGGCCCAGCCTATAATCCCAGCACTTTGGGAGGCCTAGGCAGGAGAATCACCTGAAGTCAGGAGTTCGAAACCAGTCAAGCCAACATGGTGAAACCCCATCTCTACTAAAAATTAAAAACAATGAAATTAGCTGGGCCTGGTGGTGGGCGCCTGTGATACCAGCTATTTGGGAGGCTGAGACAGGAGAATCACTTGAACCCGGGAGGCAGAGGTTGCAGTGAGCCAAGATGGAGATCACGCCACTGCACTCTAGCCTGGGTAACAAGCATGAGACTCCATCTCAAAAATAAAATAAAATAAATAAAGAGGTACAGACAGTTGAACTGTTTACAGCTCAGTAGCTTAGTGTTTGCCTTATTTGAATACAGTTTGAACAGTTGGCCACCTTTGGCTAAAACTCAGTGATTGGCATAAGAGTAGGTTACAGTCTGTTTACACATTCAGTTATGTTGCTGTTCACTGTATATGGAAAAAAAAAAACTTTAGGCAGAACTTAAAATATGTAAGGAGGCAGTTTCAGGTAAAACTTGATTTAACACTTGTTTACATTCTAATTAACAAAACTAGAGATGCCTTTTTTTGTTTTTTATAGGTTTATAAAAGTTGTAAATATTTTAGGGGTACAAGTGATATTTTGATACTGTATGCAATGTGTAATGATCAAATAAGGGTAATTGGGATTTCCATCAACTCAAATCCATCTTTTCTTTGTGTTGAGAATATTAAAATTCTTCTCTTCTATTTTAAATTATACAAATTATTGTTAACTATAATTTTCCTATTATACTATCAAATACTAGAACTTAATCTTTATATCTAACTATATTTTTGTACCTATTAGCCAAGTTACAAAAGCACTGCTACAACTTTCAAAAACTCAATATGTTGAAGATAATGTATATTTCTGTCTTAGAGCTAAGATCTAATTTAGTAATTAGAACGATACATTAAAAGAAGAATCATTGCAAAGTAAAAAATTATGTGTAGGAAGGAATGAACTTCAGTAGAAGCCATCAATTGGTCATGTCCTTCCTTATTTCTCTGTTCATCTTCTTTGTCAAATTGTGCTTAGATAGTGTTAGCCGAAATTCTTCCCTTTACAGGCATTAGAAAGTTGTCTGGCTGCAATGATGTGGATTAATTACTGGGACTAGGAGGATGAAAGAAGTAGCTGAGAATAGTTGTTTGCAGTTGTACAATCACTCCAACCTATTCAACATAAAATTTTAAAATATATTTTTAAAATATTCAAATGCATGGCCTAAGAATATACGACTATTTTTACACATTTGTATTAGATATAATGTGTCAGTAAACTAAATATAAACTCAGTGATTCATTAGAATTTCTAATGTTCAAGAGTTCTACATTAATATTTGTATCTATATAATGTTTTCAATCTGGGTTCGAAGATGTTCTGCTCTACCGGTTCAATGGTGGAGTAATAAGAAGTGAGTTCTAGCCAAGTGGCAAATCTCTGTACTACTGTTTAATTTAAAGGTTTTTCACAACCAAAAATAGATTTGGAAATCATGGATGAATAGTATAATTAATAAGTAAGAACAAATTCCACCTTTTTTGCTGAACGTATTTTTGTTAGCAGAGCACTAAAAGGGTTTAGTGGCATTGTTATTTTGGTACTGTAATTCCATTCTTTTAATGAAGATATATTGAGAGTTATATACCTAAGTACTATTTTCTTTAACCTATTATCTCTAGAAGTAAAATAAAAGACCAGTAAATAGTCTGTCCTTAAGAAGCTCATCATCAAGGGTAGTAGTTCTCAATTCTGAATTCCCATAAGAATGACCTGGAGTGCTTATTTACAATTCAGTTACTATATGTCACCACTTTTTGATTGGGTAGTTTCTGAGGGGGGTCCCCAAATTATTAATTTTCCCATAATCATATGATTCTAATGCTGGTGCTATAGTGTTATGCTTTTCAGAAAATGTTGTAAATAAATATACAGATGCAAATGTTATCTATATAAAGAGGCTAGAGAGGAGGATAAGTAATCTTAGAGATAAGAAATAGAGAAAGCTTCAAAGGAGTGGCTTTTTAGTTGAATATTTAACAAAGTAAAATTTTTTGACTATAGAAAAAGTATAGTCCTTTTCATGAAAAGAAGATAGCATTAACAAAAAAGGCATGGAGGGATGGGACAATATTGTTGATTTGGAGACTAGTAGGGACATTTAGGAAAAGGAAAAATAAGACACGGATTGTTTGTAGCAAATGATAAAAAAATGTAAGAAAATTAAGAAACGTCGGTATATAAAGACATTGCATGTCATGCTACAATGTCTGTGTGTTATACCAATGGCAAAACTGGATTTGAAGCAATAGAATAATCTAATTTAGAGTTTTCAAAAATAAAATTTTAATAAATCTGGTAGAAAAGTGAAAAGTGTAAGAAAGAAGATATTTTTAGATTGAAAGTCTTGTTTTGTATAATTTGATATTTGTGAAAAGTTTGGGAAATATCGTAACTTTTTCATAAATTTTAGATAACAAAAACAACAATAGTTTATCTATGGTTAAGCTAATATAATATGATTTTACTGGTATTTTTCAATTTTTAAAGACTCTGAATGTGGACTTGAGGTTTTAACTACTCAACACATTGAATTAGATTATTTACTTTATTAACTGTTTTACCTAGGGTTCTTTAATACTTTAAGAAAATTGGAATGTAAGTTAATCAATAAATCAAGCAAAAAAGAGAGAGAGAGAAAAAAAAAAACTCTAAACAACTTCTAAGTAAATGTGCCCCATAAATCAGATCATCTATAATCCAGTGCAAAAGGAAATAGTACAAGTTAAACCAGAGGCTTTTAAAACCACTCTATAATTAAATACCAGCTTTGCTTCCAGAAAGGTCATGATCAAAAGTATTTGGTCATATATACATACGCTTTAGAGTTTGGGAATTATAAAAGCTGAGCAGTAGATTATAATTCTTAATTTAAAATTAATCCCCCTGGGGATGGGGGGAGGCAGATAAGGGCAATAGCTTTCCTATTTGAGGGTACCATGTGTGAATCTAGGTGGTGTGTGCTGCTAAGTACTTGGCTTAAATATTCTGAGAAATACACACATCCAGATGTGTGTGTCCTAAATTAACCCCATTCAAGTCTCTGTAGAATTAGGCTTTAAATGGGTAAGAGTCAATATTTGTGCCCCAGAATGAGATGTGGAAATAGTACCACTTTTTAATTAAGACATTTACTATGTTCTATATTAAACATGTTTGCCTTTCCTATTGCTTAAAAAAAAATCCTGTGTCCTAAAACAGTACTATAAAGGAGATGAATGAGCAGACTGCCTTGTGACTCACATCAGTACTGTATGGAACCAAGACTGACTGTAGTTTAACCTGGAGAAGTAGACTTTTGGGAATGCTGCGAAAATGTGCACTGGATAGTATGAAATGGAGTGGGGTGTAGGGAGAGAAAGCCAATATAAGATTCTAGAGAGGTGCACAGATGGGATCAGCAATATTAAGACAAAAGTTTGAATTAGAAATTATCCAATCCACTGAAAAAAAATTAGCTGAGAGAAAATGAACTCAAATAGCTGGATTAGTTTATAATGAAGAAGTGAAAAAGCCATGAACTCAGAGCTTGCCCAGCTAAAAAGGTAGGACATTTCTGTCATAAATCATTGAGTTGATGAGGCTTATTGCCCACAGCAGTGTCATATGATTGGTCTTGCTTGCTTGTGTTCTTCATAAGGTTCCTCTTAGCCGATGGAAAAAAAGTTAGGAGGGAAAATGAGAATTGACAGAATTTAAATACACACCAAAAACCAATAATTAAAATTGGATTACATAATTCTTTTGTCCTAGGCAAGAGATGAATTAGACAGGGACCACATGTTTATGAAATTCTGCAGGACAGGTCTTGTTACTTCCTCTCCCCCTGAGTAAGATAAGATGGCTTGGATTTCAATGAACTTATCTGGAACTAGATTACTTGCTATAGGTTACTTACTTAATCAATGCAAGTGTCAGTTTCCACATCAATAAATCTGAATAATGATGCATAGCTTTAAGGATGACTATGAGAAAGAAATTAGCTATGCAAATCTAATTGCCCTAATCAATGACAAATTCATAACAAGTTCTTAGTATATGTTAGATGTTAGTGATTTATTCATTAAATATATTTCTAAATGCATGGTACATCAGCTAAACATGAATTAGAATTATAAAATTGTAAAACCACAGAATTTAAAATTAAATTCTGAAAAAGAAATCAATGGTTTCTTAATACATTGGTTTTCTAATAGTACACAGAGATTATATAAATATATTTAAAAACGTTTACTCAGTTTCAGAAAGTTTTGGTAAGGCACGATGGCTCATGACTGTAATCCGAGGACTTTGGGAGGCTGAGGCAGGTAGATCACTTGAGACCAGGAGTTTGAGACCAGCCTGGCCAACATGGTGAAACCTCATCTCTACTGAAAACAACAACAACAGAAAATTAGCCGGGCATGAGGCCTAGGCACAAGAATCGCTTAAACCTGGGAGGCGGAGATTGCAGTGAGCCAAGATGGTGCCACCACATTCCAGCCTGGAAAACAGAGTGAGACTGCATCTCAAAAAAAAAAAAAGAAAAAGAAAAAAGAAAGTAAAATTGTAGTGAGATATAATCTCCCTACAAATAAATACATATCCTTTTCCAAAATAGCAGGCAAAGCATTCTGTATAATTTTCATTGAACAAAATTCTTAACATATATAATAATAATTTCTTCCAGATCCATAAAGTGTATAAATTCTGTACTTTATTTCATTAGTTAGAAAATATTTTACCGGAATCTCTGGGACACATTCAAAGCAGTGTGTAGAGGGAAATTTATAGCACTAAATGCCCACAAGAGAAAGCAGGAAAGATCCAAAATTGACACCCTAACATCACAATTAAAAGAACTAGAAAAGCAAGAGCAAACACATTCAAAAGCTAGCAGAAGGCAAGAAATAACTAAAATCAGAGCAGAACTGAAGGAAATAGAGACACAGAAAACCCTTCAAAAAATTAATGAATCCAGGAGCTGGTTTTCTGAAAGGATCAACAAAATAGACCGCTAGCAAGACTAATAAAGAAAAAAAGAGAGAAGAATCAAATAGATGCAATAAAAAATGATAAAGGGGATATCACCACCGATCCCACAGAAATACAAACTACCATCAGAGAATACTACAAACATCTCTATGCAAGTAAACTAGAAAATCTAGAAGAAATGGATAAATTCCTCCACACATACACTGTCCCAAGACTAAGCCAGGAAGAAGTTGAATATCTGAATAGACCAATGACAGGAGCTGAAATTGTGGCAATAATCAATAGCTTACCAACCAAAAAGAGTCCAGGACCAGATGGATTCACAGCCGAATTCTACCAGAGGTACAAGGAGGAACTGGTACCATTCCTTCTGAAACTATTCCAATCAATAGAAAAAGAGGGAATCCTCCCTAACTCATTTTATGAGGCCAGTATCATCCTGATACCAAAGCCGGGCAGAGACACAACCAAAAGTGAGAATTTTAGACCAATATCCTTGATGAACATTGATGCAAAAATCCTCAATAAAATACTGGCAAACCGAATCCAGCAGCACATCAAAAAGCTTATCCACCATGATCAAGTGGGCTTCATCCTTGGGATGCAAGGCTGGTTCAATATACGCAAATCAATAAATGTAATCCAGCATATAAACAGAACCAAAGACAAAAACCACATGATTATCTCAATAGATGCAGAAAAGACCTTTGACAAAATTCAACAACGCTTCATGCTAAAAACTCTCAATAAATTAGGTATTGATGGGACATATCTCAAAATAATAAGAGTTATCTATGACAAACCCACAGCCAATTTCATAATGAATGGGCAAAAACTGGAAGCATTCCCTTTGAAAACTGGCACAAGACAGGTATGCCCTATCTCACCACTCCTATTCAACATAGTGTTGGAAGTTCTGGCCAGGGCAATTAGGCAGGATAAAGAAATAAAGGGTATTCAATTAGGAAAAGAGGAAGTCAAATTGTCCCTGTTTGCAGATGGCATGATTGTATATCTAGAAAACCCCATTGTCTCAGCCCAAAATCTCCTTAAGCTGATAAGCAACTTCAGCAAAGTCTCAGGATACAAAATCAATGTGCAAAAATCACAAGCATTCTTATACACCAACAACAGACAAACAGAGAACCAAATCATGAGTGAACTCCCATTCACAATTGCTTCAAAGAGAATCAAATACCTAGGAATCCAACTTACAAGGGATGTGAAGGACCTCTTCAAGGAGAACTACAAATCACTGCTCAACAAAATAAAAGAGGATACAAACAAATGGAAGAACATTCCATGCTCATGGGTAGGAAGAATCAGTATCATGAAAATGGCCATACTGCCCAAGGTAATTTACAGATTCAATGCCATCCCCATCAAGCTACCAATGCCTTTCTTCACAGAATTGGAAAAAACTACTTTAAAGTTCATATGGAACCAAAAAAGAGCCCGCATCGCCAAGTCAATCCTAAGCCAAAAGAACAAAGCTGGAGGCATCATACTACCTGACTTCAAACTATACTACGAGGCTACAGTAACCAAAACAGCATGGTACTGGTACCAAAACAGAGATATAGATCAATGGAACAGAACAGAGCCCTCAGAAATAACGCCACATATCTACAACTATCTGATCTTTGACAAACCTGAGAAAAACAAGCAATGGGGAAAGGACTCCCTATTTAATAAATGGTGCTGGGAAAACTGGCTAGACATATGTAGAAAGCTGAAACTGGATCCCTTCCTTACACCTTATACAAAAATCAATTCAATATGAATTAAAGACTTAAACGTTAGACCTAAAACCATAAAAACCCTAGAAGAAAACCTAGGCATTACCATTCAGGACATAGGCATGGGCAAGGACTTCATGTCTAAAACACCAAAAGCGATGGCAACAAAAGCCAAAATTGACAAACGGGATCTAATTTAACTAAAAAGCTTCTGCACAGCAAAAGAAACTACCATCAGAGTGAACAGGCAACCTACAAAATGGGAGAAAATTTTCGCAACTGACTCATCTGACAAAGGGCTAATATCCAGAATCTACAATGAACTCAAACAAATTTACAAGAAAAAAACAAACAACCCCATCAAAAAGTGGGCAAAGGACATGAACAGACACTTCTCAAAAGAAGACATTTATGCAGCCAAAAAACACATGAAAAAATGCTCACCATCACTGGCCATCAGAGAAATGCAAATCAAAACCACAATGAGATACCATCTCACAACAGTTAGAATGCAATCATTAAAAAGTCAGGAAACAACAGGTGCTGGAGAGGATCTGGAGAAATAGGAACACTTTTACACCGTTGGTGGGACTGTAAACTAGTTCAACCATTGTGGAAGTCAGTGTGGCGATTCCTCAGGGATCTAGAACTAGAAATACCATTTGACCCAGCCATCCCATTACTGGGTATATACCCAAAGGACTATAAATCATGCTGCTATAAAGACACATGCACACGTATGTTTATTGCGGCATTATTCACAATAGCGAAGACTTGGAACCAACCCAAATGTCCAACAATGATAGACTGGATTAAGAAAATGTGGCACATATACACCATGGAATACTATGCAGCCATAAAAAATGATGAGTTCATGTCCTTTGTAGGGACATGCATGAAACTGGAAATCATCATGCTCAGTAAACTATCGCAAGAACAAAAAACCAAACACCGCATATTCTCACTCATAGGTGGGAATTGAACAATGAGAACACATGGACACAGGAAGGGGAACATCACACTTTGGGGACTGTTGTGTGGGGGGGAGCGGGGAGGGATAGCATTGGGAGATATACCTAATGCTAGATGACGAGTTAGTGGGTGCAGCGCACCAGCATGGCACATGTATACATATGTAACTAACCTGCACATTGTGCACATGTACCCTAAAACTTAAAGTATAATAATAATAAATAAATTAAAAAAAAGAAAATATTTTAAAATATTTTTAAATGTTAAATTTTACTCTCATAACCTAAATTATTGTACATAACACTTGTATATGGAACCTACTGACATTATGTTGTTGAATTTCTTTTAATGAGCACATTCACATTTCCTGTTTTAATTATTCAAAATTGTCCTACATGCACATACTTTGATCTCCATTGCCTGTCTACTAATTTTTACTTCTTCTCCTGCCAAAAAATAATGTATAAATAGGAAAACAATAAAGAAACTTGTTATTACAACTCTATTATTTTTTGATGCATAGGCATATCACAGTAAAAGCAAAATTCGGCTCTACCTATGCTAATATTTAGCTGATTAAATCACATTTCTCAATGTAGGTAGATCTCATGTTTATCTCCAGTCACAGAAAAACTCTGCATGTAAGAGCAAAAGCTGTTCACTCTACTATTCATTGAGGTGTTTATATTAGAAACATGGAGTATTTTATGATTGATAAAGCCATAATTAAGTAAATAGCTAATTCTACAGTTGAAACAAGTATGAAGTACTTTTGTAATATTCTTGACATTTCAGTTTCTATTAAGCTTTATGTTGTGCCAAAGGAATATGAAACAACAATTCTCCTTAAATAAATTGATGACCAACTTTTCAAGCAAAAACAGCCATTAAAAGGAAAAATTGGGTTCTATGTTCAGGAAAAATATTCTTTCAAAATGTGATAAAATCATACTCAACAGTATAAAACTTAATGGATACCACACACTGCCAGGTATCATAAATGATTATCTGATAGAAAAAGCAATTACATTTAAAACATTTTCTCTTAAATAATGGCAATGACCACCTTGGGGATTATCTTGATGTATAGAGTAAGTACCATGTGAATGTTCTTGAATGCTTTTTGGTTTTTAAGACTAAGTTGGTTACTTTGATTGTTTGAAATATTGCACGGCACATTATTTCTCTGTGCTAAGATGCCATCTACTTTATCATGTAACATCAATATTTTGTTAGATTGGGGATAGGAGATATGAGCCACTTAACTAAATATACATCAATTTTCTTTACCTTTCTGAGAACAGCATAAAATTTCATTTCAATATAAGAACCAAAGTTTGAGAATATCAAGCAAATAACAATGAGTGGCCAAGCAGCCCACACAAAAGGCTGGCTGGACTAAATTTTATGAGGAAAAAATAATAGATAGTGGCAGAAGTAAGTGTAGTGTTCCATCATCTCAGTGCACAAAAGTCTAGCAGGCCCAGCAGTAAGAATCCATTAAAGGTATCCTGACCCTTCAATTGCGGGGCATTTAAACTGCATTGACTCCTCTGCTGAAAAGATAACAGCAGTTAACAGGCAGTCTGTGGTCTCTGGCCATGCTTTTCTGCTAACTCAGAACTTGTAGTTGGGGAATACCAGCTGTCCTTCCCTGTTATGATTAAAAAGTTTGGGTTGAAGCCTTTACCACAGCGTGAAATGTAGTGAAAGAGACTGATTCACAACTATAGCAAGCCCAAGAGGTGACCTCCATGGAATTTAAGTCAGCAATCTATTCTACTTGAGTCAGTAAGGGCTTTGTGTCTAGGAAGTGCCATGCTGTTGAGAACACTAGAAGACAGAAAAGTTAATAAAGAAAAGAAGGACAAAGGATATTTTGAAGACTGTCACTAAACTATGGGTAGAGGGAACCCAGACCTGCTCAAACAAATCATTCTCAAGATGTAGATTGAAGCTTTCGAGCTTATTGAATAAAGGGATCACTAGTGTTGATCAGTAATTTGTGGGACTACATAAATTGTTTGAAACTCAATCATACCCCATCACCTTTGCCCTGTTAAAACTTCCCTTCTCTGTGTGGTTGTCTGTGTGGTTATAGCCAACTTATCCCTCATCTGACTAACCCAAATCTCAACATATCCCCATGACTTGGAGTTGATCAAAGCAATGTAAATAAGTTCCTCTCTTCACGTGTGATTTTTTTAAACTAGTCAATTGACAGCTTCAGAGAGAAAGCCTAAGGGATAATTAATGGACATTAATAAAGATGTAGTCCCACTGGTTTGCTTCCTTTTACTCCTCTCTCTCTCTCTCTCTTTCTCTCTCTATTATGCACACACACACACACACACACACACTACCTGCTGGTTGAGCTTGTTGCTGCCTTCAAACGTCCCTTCAGCCTCCTCTCAACCCCCTAACCTAACTGGGACATGTAAGTAGTACATTTCTTCTGTTTCATTTTCATTTATTCTGTTTTTACTTTTCTATCGTCTCTTACCTGACCGCACACAATCCTAGCTTTCTCAGTCAGGGCTCTCATAGAGAATGGCTTTCTTGGCATATGGCCACTCTCATGAAAAACACATCTAAAGGAAAAATTAAAGAGAAACTGTAACAATAGAAATTACAACGATAAAAGTGAGAATGTGAATTAAGGGAATTTTCAGGTAAACAAAAGACGAGAGGAGTATTGCCAGTGGAATTACTTCAAAAGCACTAAAGCAATTGCTTCAGGTTAATGGGTATTTACTGAAACTGTCAACTGTTCCAATAAACACCTTATATTAGGTTTAGAACATTTTCTTATAATCCTAAGAAATATTGCATGATTAAACTAAAATAAGATAGATGCCAAAAATGTGCACTTTCACACATTCTTTTAGGCATTTACTGCAGATCATAGCCAGTGCCATAAAACAAGAAAATAAATAAAAAGCATAAAGATTGGAAATGGAAAATGTAATACTCTCATTATTAAAAGACTATATGATTACTTATATTAAAAAGTCTAAGGAATCTACAAGATGACTACTATAACTAGTCATACTAGGGGATCAGGAATACTTCAGGTTATAGGATCAGAATGTATTATCAATTGTGATTTTATATATGATAACCAAATAATTAGATAATAAAATTTTAAAATAGCATTTATTATAGCATAACAATTATAGTTCTTAGGAATAAATTCAACAAAAAATGTTTAAGACTTCTACATAATAAACTATAAAACAATGATAAAATAAATTAAAGAATATCTAAAAAATACAGTACAGTCACAGATTCAAAGACTCAATATTAAGATGCTAGTTTCCCCCAAATTGATCTACATATTCAAAACAATTCCAGTCAAAATCTTAGCAGACTTTTTTTTTGGTAGAAATATATTAGTTGACTCAATATTACGAAGGTCCAAAGCATATACACAATCTTAAAACAATCTTGAAAAAAAGAAAAGAAATGGTGGAATACTCATGTTATTGATTTTCTGTCTTTCCATAATGTTTTATTAATAAAGATTGCATGATTTTGCCCTATGGAAAGACAATAAGATCAATGGAACAAGTTAGAAAGCTCAGAACTAAACCTCTATTTATTTGGTCAATTGATTTTCAACAAGCTGTCATAGTAATATAATTCAGAAAGGAAATTCTTACAACAAATTCGGTAAATATGTGAGGAGAGAAAATAATTTTGATGCCTCTCTCACAGCACCTGCAAAAGGTAATTCACAATTGGCCAAAGACTTAATTGCAAAAGCTTAAATTTTAAATAAAAAGTACAACTTACAGAAAAAAAAAAGCTTTCTGGCTTTGATGAGGGTTTTGAATGCAAGGATACGTTCACTTGTCAAATTTATTCAAATTATATTTAAGATCTGTGTATTGCACTATATATGTAATTTTTTAAATTTATTAAGAGATAGGTCCTCACTGTATTGCCCAGGTTGGTCTCTTGATGGTCACTTGAACTATAGGTTCAAGATTCACCTCAGCCTCCCAAGTAGCTTGGACTACAAACACATGTCATTACCCCAGGCTTATGTTCTATTTGAAGTTCATTGCAAATGCAATTTGATGAGGCAAGGCACAGATGGTGGTCATGTCCATAGTGTGGTAAGCAACTGACAATCATATCTGGAATGAAACGCAGTCTAGACTTCCTGACTACTTGAGGATGCAAGTATAAGAGCAGAAAAGAAAACAGAGGGAGAATTGTATGGACCTTGTTCTCTACATTGTAGCTTTGTAACTCTTGGTATCTTTCCCACTTCCTAATTCTTGGGTACCTAAAGGACAACTAAAACCTAAATGAGACTCCCACTACATGGTGATATTAATGACACATAACATTAATAGAGTATTCCAGAGTGTCCTACAATAAATAGCAGTGTGTCGGTTGGACTGTTGCAATCTGCACCTGGGTGTTCTGTTCTGGAAATATTTTGTATTTGAACACCACAAATTAATGGCTTAGGGATGGCCACTGATCTCATTCCAAGTTGTCCAGGATGGAGTTCTGAGACCATGAAGAGTGTTTTATTGGTTGACTAGGTGGTGTCTGGATATTTTAGTAATTATTCACAAAGGGTTGTGGGAAAGCTTTCTGAATGAGATGAAACCTCAATTGATAGGACCTTTGGAGACATGTATGAGTTAGCAATGCAAAGGAATTAGGGAAGAGGATAAAGAAGAGGACCTTTTAGCTATCTATATTATTTTCAAATATGTGGAATAATCTAGTTCTCCCAAAGGAGACAGATATTTTTAAAATAATGTTTTATCTATTTTTTACAAATCATTCCCTGTATATCTGTATGAAATTATAGAAAGTAGATAACCTATGTAAACCTAGCATAAATTTCTAAATCTGTATGTTCAAAATATTTATTCCTTATTTGTTTGTGTCACCAAAACACTTTCTTGTTTTTATTTTATTATATCAATTACTATTTGCAATTTTCATTAAGCACAAGTTTATTTTCATAGGAATTGCAGCATGTTTACTTATAGTACACAAAAAAAACTAGTGCAATGTGTAAAAATCAGTAAACATATAAAAATGTTCTCCTTTACCTTTCTGTTTTATTAGTCTTATCTGGTATATATTTCCTTAAACATAAAATAATAGTAAATTTAGTTCACTCCTATTATTTATATTTTACTATTTCTATGTGGAAACTCATATCAAAGATAAATCATTTGAATAACCTAGATTATAATAACTCAAATTTAAGATGATTCTTACATGGTTAATAGTTTATGATTTATGTTTGAAGCAACCCAGAAACATGTGTTAAACTTGACATCTGAAATTTAATAAGGTACAAAGATATAATTGTGAATGAGCAAATTTTATTTCTCAATTAAGGATAAATAAATACATTCTACTTTAATAATTTACTTTTTAAAAAAGTAATGAGCTGTAGTTTTGACTTTCTGAAGCATTTTTGTTTGGAGTAGAGTGTTGTACTAGTATTCTATGGCTGCTGTAACAAATTACCACAAATTTACTGATTTAACACACATCTGGAGGTCAGAAATATAAAATGTGTCTCATTAGGCTAAAATAAATATATCAATTACTATTTGCAATTTTAATTAGCACAAGTTTAATGAAAGCAGGACTGCATTCCTTTCTGGAGGCTCTAGGAGACAATCTACTTATTTGTGCTCTTTAGCATGTAGAGGCTGGCAGGATTTTATTTATTATTTATTTATTTTCTGGCTCAAGGATAATTTTCCTGTCTTAAGGTCAACAAATCAGTAACCTTAATTCCATATGCAAACTTAATCCCCCTTGGCATGTAATTTAGCGTATATCACAGATTCTGGGGAGTTGGATTTGAAGACAGTATTTTGCCTACCACAGTCTGCCCTTGGCTTCTAAAGATTCATATCTTTCCCACATACTAAAACATATTCTCCCTGTTCCAACATCCCCAAAGATCTCATCCCATTATAGCATCAACTAAAAATCCAAAATAACATGTCATAACTTACATTAGTTCAAAAATCCCTAATTTCATAATCTAAGTAAAGTATGGTTGAGATTATGAGTATATACCATCTTGGGTCAAAGTTTCTCTCCATCTATTAATTGTGAATTTCAAGAAAAAAGATATCTACTTTTAAAACACAAGGATTTGAAAAACATACACCAATTATAAACATTTTTATTTTAAAGGGTGGAAAAATGAAAGAAAATATGAATCAACAGTTTAAAATAATTGTTAAATCCAGCCATGGAAACTCCATTTGGTTTCAAGGCCAGGGACTAATTCTTAGGTAGGTATCAGGTAAATAAAGACTGAAAAATAATAGTAAAATATAAGTTGTCTTCTATTTCCTCAAATAATTTATTTACTGGTTTAATAGTACAAATTAACTCAGAGGCAAAATTTTGCCTAACAGAACAGAATTCTCTACTAATAAAAAGAAGTCTTTTTTTTTTTTTTTTTTTTTTTAGACAAGTCTCACTGTTGTCCAAGTTGGAGTGCAGTGGTGCAATCTTGGCTCACTACATCCTCCACCTCCTGGGTTCAAACAATTCTCCTCCCTCAGCCTCCTGAGTAGCTGGGACTACTGGCATGCGCCACTATGCCCAGCTAATTTTAGTATTTTTAGTAGAGATGAAGTTTCACTATGTTGGCCAGGCTGGTCTTGAATTCCTGACCTCGTGATTTGCCCACTTCGGCCTCCCAAAATGCTGGGATTACAGGTATAAGCCACCATGCCTAGCCAAAAAAGAAGTATTTTATTCAAATAAATTGGAATATATATTCATTTACTTTTGACTCTAAAACCTTCAAGCAGATTTGAATTGGTATTTACAAAACCAATGATAAACTGAAATAATATTTATTGATTTAATCTATAGAATTTTTGAGTCTTAGCTCAAGTGATGTCTTCTAGGAGATTTGATATAGTCATTTTTAGATTTAGAAAATATTGTTAAATATTTCAAGAAATTTAAGAAATGAAATAATTGCTTCAGTTACTTCCTCTTACATAAGAGAAAGAACGTTGACCTAACCGGAATGAGATAGTACCTAAAGCAATTATTTCATTTCTTAACTATTACTTAAGTTTATCATTGCTCTTGTAAATACCTATTCTATTCTGCTTAAAGGTTTTAGAGTCAAAGGTTTTAGAGTGAAAAGTAAATAAATATATATTCCAATTTATTTGAATAAAATACTTGTTTTTCTTAGTAGAAAATCCTGTTAGTCAAAATTTTGCCTCCAGATTCATTTATATTATTAAACCAGTAAATAAATTGTTTTAGGGAATAGAAGCCAACCTATATTTTATTATTATTTTTCATTCTTTATTTTCCTGCTACCTACCCAAGTTATAATTATGTTTATCAAATATAAGAAAGCCCCATCAGGTGCAAGTGATGAAATATATATGGACATTTATTTTATGTTTTTTAAAAAATTAGAAATTCAGTTCTAGCAGAATAAAAATAGCCATTTTTTAATTACACATGCATGCTTGGCTCACTGCAACCTCCACCTCCTGGGTTCAAGCGAGTCTCCTGCCTCAGCCTCCCAAGTGTCTGGGATTACAGGTGCATGCCACCATGCCTGGCTAATTTTTGTATTTTTATTAGAGACAGGGTTTCATTATTTTGGGCAGGCTGGTCTTGAACTCCTGACCTCAAGTGATCTGCCTGCCTAGGCCTCCCAAAGTGCTGGGATTACAGGCATGAGCAACTGCGCCTGGCCTTAGATGGGTTTATTTGCTGTATATTACTTCAGATTACATTTCTAACATAGAGTGCAGAAAGCAGAATTTTGACAATAATAACTCTTATGTTAGAGAAAAATGTACTAATCTTTAATAAGTATGTGATACATATATTAAATATTTAAAAAATAATTGTCTTTAAGAGAACTGATATGACTTTGAAGGTTTGCTTTTTTATGCGTCAGTTTTTATCTGGTAATGAAAGGATCATTTTTAACTCAACAGTTCAGGATTAAAATGTGAATTGTATAATGTGTTACCCCAAGTGATTGATCACTATTAGTACTATTACCATGTTTATAATTATTATTTTTATTTAATTTAAATTTAAATAAAAGTGTTACCTTTTCATTTGCTTATTAATCACAATAATGTTGTTTTTACTATCTCAGCTAAAATATTATTTTCTTCTGGATTATAATTTCATAATTTTGTGATATGCAGCTTGTTTACTAAAGCAGTATGTCACAATAACAAGTTTGTAAATTTTGGAATTTGACCACCTTGTTCCATATTCTTACTCTGTCATTTACTACTTTTTAGTATTATTAATCTCAAACAAATGACTTTATTTTGCTAAACTTTGATTTTAATGTCTGTTATATGGACCACTCTGTCAAATTTCTTACTTAATAAACAGTATATAGCAATAATTATTACTATATATACAGTTAACAAGTTTTGGAGAATATTTTATGCGAGTCTAAATTTATTGATGCTGGTGTACTTGCACAAAGTCTTGAATTCATTGTACATATCCCATAAATAACCTGACTTTGGTTTAGATGTTTGACTGCTGACAGCTTTCAGTACCTACATTTCCCAATTTCTCTTTTGTCTGCATCTGTGAAAATTGCTAAGGATACCTTGGTTTTCCTTCCTTTGGCACTGACAGGAAATTCAAACCATGCAAATCCTAGCCATGTGAGGCAACCCTCAACACAACCCCATTTCCCAATCACATAAAACCCCAAGCCACTTGCCACTGTGCTCTCTTGTTTTTAGTGCTTTGGTGCTTTGGTGCTTGCTCTGCTCTACCCAGAAACCCTCATTTTCCAAGAATTTTAGCCTCATTTTAGCCTCATTTTAACTTCTTGGTGATTGTGTGCAACCATTAGTCTTGACATTCAAACCAATTATAGGTGAATGGGAATGGAAGGGTGTCTTCTGTTTTTAAAAGTTACTAAAGCAACTATATTAGGCAATTTGATGTTTTATGATTTTTTTGCTCAATTGTTACATAAATCATGAACTAAATAGTGACATGATAAATATAATCTCTATGATTTAATTTTGTTGATTTATTTGTATACTCTAAACTCTGTTTTAAGTGTTGTATAGTCACGTATCACTTAATGATGAGGATACATTCTGAGAAATGCATCATTACGCAATTTCACTGCTGCGCAAACCTCATAGAATATACCTACACAAATCCAGATGATGTAGCCTACTACGTACCTAGGCTGTATGGTATAGCCTATTGCTGCTAGTCTACAAATCTTTTCAGTATGTTACTGTACTGAATGCTGTAGGCAATAATAAGCAATAGTAATGGCTCATATTTCTAAAAATATCTAAACATAGAAAAGGTCTAGTAAAAATATGGTATAAAAAGTGTTTTTTTTTTTTTGTTTTGTTTTTGTTTTTTAAAGAGGCACACCCACTTAGGGCACTTACCATGACTGGAACTTGTAAGACTAAAAGTTTCTCTGGGTGAGTCAGTGAGAGGTGGGTGAACCTGAACACCTAGGATACTACTCCATGCTACTACAGGCTTTATAAACACTGCACAATTAGGCTACACTAAAGTCATTTAAAAATTTTTTCAATGATAAGTTAACTAGCTTACTGTAACATTTTTACTTTATAATTTTAAAAAACATTTTTATTTATAACACTTAGCTTAAAACCTGTGTATAGGTGTACAGACATATGTTCTTTCTCTATGTCCTTATTCTATAAGCTTTTTTTCTATTTTTAAATTATTTTATTTTCTGCTTTCTACCTTCTTTAGTTAAAAACTAAGAAACAAACATACAAATTAGCCTAGGCTTAAACACAGTCAGGACTATTAGTATCACTGCCTTCCAACTTCACATGTTGTCCCACTGGAAGGTCTTCAGTGTCGATAACATTCATGGAATTCTTATCTCCTATAATAACAATGCTTTCTTCTGGAATATGTTCTGAAGGACCTGCCTAAGGCTGTTCTACAGTTAACTTATACACAGTTATATAAGGAGTACACTCTAAAATAGGAGTATACTCCAAAATAATATTTTTAAAGTATAGTATATTAAATACATAAACCAGTAACATAGATAAAAAGGAATAATACAGTAAAAGTGTGCTTTGGAATGTCAAGGTATGCCCTCTGGGGGTCATGATATCACAAATAAGTTTGTGAGTAGATGGTTCACCTTCCTTTTGTTCCTATTTTATCAGTATTATCACTTTACTAAAGAAGTTACCTATGACCAATTTCTTTCCAGAGAAAAATGTTAACCCTTAATAAGAGATGGCTCTGCAAGATATACTGGTACCAATAGAAAGTGAACTGCTATGGCAGTCATACTTTAGGGATTTTTCCCTGAAGAACCGTAGAGATGGGAAATCTTGTCAGCAGCTACAATTTGAAAGGAACTATTCTTTGTCCAGGAGAATTAATCCTGTAATAGTTTGGTGTTTTCCACACACTTTATCTGTTGTCTTATATTTTTTCAATCTCCTGTAGTTAGAGATAAATGATGATGTAATGTAATGACATCTGACCAAAGGCTATGAAACAGAGTAAGGAATGTTAACATAGTCCTTCAGCTTTCTTTCTCCTGCTGCAGCAATTGAGCAAGACTCATGTTTCAAATGGTACAGATATAAGACAATAAAGCCTCCATCAGTGTGTGGTTCCAAGTGATTTTTGTAGCAGAGCCCCTGCTTGTATATTCACCATACTATGCTCTGTATCTGTAACAGGAATAAAAAGGAAACCTTTGGCCGGGCGCGGTGGCTCACACCTATAATCCCAGCACTTTGGAAGGCTGAGACAGGCAAATGATTTGAGATCAGGGGTTCGAGTCCAGCCTGGCCAACGTGGTTAAACCCCATCTCTACTAAAAATTCAAAAAAAATTAGCCAGGCATAGTGGTGGGCACCTGTAATCCCAGCTACTGGGAGTCTGAGGCAGGAGAATTGCTTGAACCCTGAAGGCAGAGGTTGCAGTGAGCAGGGATCATGTCACTGCACTCCAGCCTGGGTGACTGAGCAAGACTCCATCTAAAAACAAAACAAAAAGGAAATCTTTGTTCTGTTAAGTAATTGAGATGGTAAGATTTTTTTTTTCTTAGTGTATTCTGCTATATTCTGACTAATACTAATGGTCAATGGTAATTCATGAATGATAACAAGTGGTTTGACAGGATATTCAGGTATGCGGAAGGAACAAGATTAGAGAATTTTCTATCAGAGATATTTAAACTTAGGTTAAGCAACATAGACAAAACTCACTGCTGAAAATCAAAGTGAAAGGGGGAAAATATATTTATTATTATTTCATCAAAATCTTCAACATGCAAAAACAAAAACTGCTGCCTGTCCCAAATATTTGGTGTCTTTGTGAGTTTAGAAGTTTTAAACCGAAGGGCAAAATGCTTTCACCAGAAAACATAAGAGAGATTCCTTTGAATTGAAAGTTGCAACTGACCATTGGACCACTAAAAATTTCACTGATGCATCAGGTGTTTGAATCTTCATAAGATTTGTCTTCCATCTTCTAGAGCACACATATCTTACCAAGGCATCCATCCAGTGTCAAACCAGCACTTGCTCATCTTATGCAATCAGTACGAAACCATAGATGTAAAGAATCAGTGCAGTGTAGGCTATCCAGATGATATAGACCTCTGTAAACTATATTTTGATAGAGGACAAGAGAATAAAAATGGCCATCAGCAAACATTATAAATAAGTGTTGTCTATTCAATACCAACTCCCTGTTTCCATTCTTCTTTAATGGAGATTAAAGAAAATACATTTGCCAAACCAATCATCATAAAATTGACATCTGTGGTTTTATTAATTTACTTGTGCATTGATACCAGCTGTCATTGGAATTATTACTTAAATGATCCCGCTGTGATCCACAGTCATTCTACAGGATCTTATTTTTTCAAGGGCTAGACTGGCAAATTAAATGCAGCTATAACAGGAGTCACCTCTCCTGCATTATTTAGGCCTTTAATAATAGAACTAATCTCTCCCAGGAAACAATATTGTTATTGATGATACTATTTGGTTGTGTATGTGCATGTGTGTGTGTGCACTTGTGTGTGTGTGTGTGATGGAGTGTGTTTTAGAGACTCCCACATGGTGTTCCCCACTATGATAGCTCTGCTCCACAGATAAGGAACCTAATGTGAGTGTTACTACAACTTTCAAGCACATTAATTTCAATTATACATCATGGATTAGAGAAATGACCACTATGTGGATTTATGAATTCAGTAAACCCACTGTGAACTGGCCTTTAGCCAAGACTTCATTGTTTATCCGGCTCTAGTTATTATTTTAGCAGTGGGACATAATAACATTTTGCTCATTGTTCTTGAGGCACCAACATCAAATCAAATATTGTATCCTACAGTCTGGCTGCTCTCATTCTACAGTTAAGTGACTGTAGGTCCCTTTGGGGATGGACTGAAGGAATTATTATGGTGTATACTTATTAAGGTATTGTAGGGTCCTTCCTTCACAAAGCCCAAACACATCTTTAGTCAATGAACCTGGAAATAAAAGTTGACTCGAGTTTGGGAACTAAGCAGAGGATGATGACTTTTTATTGGGATAAACACCCTCGATATTCTGCTTTTGAATTCTTGCTTTTTTGAAGTTTCAGATATTAAGTAGCATACAATTTGACCACTCTTCACTCTCTCTTTTTGTTATTGTGGTAAAATGCATACTATGTAAAATTTATTATTTTAATCATTTTTAACGTATTTTCAGTGGTGTTAAGTACATTCTATTGTCGTGCATCTTCTCATCATCCCTCTCCAGAACTCTTTATGGTGAAAAACTAAACCTCTATATCCACTAAATCATAATGATGAATGGCAACCTCAATTCTGTTTTCTGTCTCTATGATTTTGATGATTCTAGGTACCTCATATAAGTAGAATAATAGAGTATTTGTGTTTTCATAACTGGCTTTTTCACTCAGACTAATGTACTTAAGGTTCATATATGTTGTAGTATATGCCAGAATTTTCTTCATTTTTAAGGTGTAATATTTCATCATATTTCTATACCCTATTTTCCTCTGCTGATATAAATGGTCAGTTTTTTCAATGCTTTCACTGTTGTGACTAATGCTGATATAAACATGGGGAATGCATATCTTCCTGAGACCCTGTTTTTAATTCTTTTGAGCATATACCTAGAATTGGAATTGCTGGATCATATGGTAATTCAATTGTTAATTTTTTCAGGAACTGCTATATTGTATTCCATAGTGGATGCACTATAAAAACACATTCTCACCAACAGTGCACATTGCACGAAGATTTCAATTTCTCTTCATCCTCACCAAAACTTATTTGCTGTTGTGTGTGTGTGTGGTGTGTGTTTTAAAGAGTAGCCATTCTAATGGTTGTGAGGTGATATCTCATTGTGGTTTTAATATACACTTCTTTAGTGATTAATGATGTTCAGCATCTTTTCATATGCTTCTTGGCCATTTGTAGATCTTTGAAGAAATGTCCATTCAACTTTTGAATCAGAATTTTGCTGTTGTTGTTCTTAAGTTTTAGCAATTCTCTATATATTCTGCGTATTAATTTCTTATCAGATAAATTGTTTATTTTCAGTATTTCACCATTGATTATGATGTTCCCTATGAATATTTCATATATGGCTTTTATTACATTGGGGTAATTTCCTTTTATTCTTGGTTTGTTCAGTCTTCTTATTATAAAGGGTGTTGAACTTTGAAATTTCTACTATATCAATTGAGATGATCATGTGGGTTTTTTCCTTCTTCTTGTTAATGTGGTATGTCATATTGATCAATTTTTTAGGTTGAATCAGCCTTACATTACAGGAATAAATCCCACTTGATCATGGTGTGTAACCCTTTTAATATCCTGCTGCATTTTGTTTGCTAGCATTTTGTTGAGGATTTTGCATCAATGTTCATCAAAGATATCAAGTTTTAGTTTCTTGTCATGTCTTTACCTGGCATGATGTGTAGGGAAAAACTCTCCTCAAACCACGATTTTCCTCTGCTCTCACACCACAACAATCATGAACACAGAAGAAGACTTCTGTGACCAAATGTGTTGGGGGGGATTCCCTACACACCAAGGAGTGGACACCAGCTGTGTGTCCTCCAATTCAATTCCAACACTATTTACCCAGAGAGAGAGTGTCAGATCCCACAGATTGAGGGATCAGTCCCCAAGACTGCACTTCTACACACACCAGTCACAAGTCTGGGCCTCTGGAAATTTTGACCAACCAGCTTCACATTGGGATTTCCATGATCCTCTCTTTGGGTTTGATTAATTTACTGCAGTGGCTCATGGAACTCAGGGAAACACATTTACCAGTTTATTATAAAGAATATTGCAAAGAATAGAGATGAGGAGATATGTAGAGTGAGGCATGGGGTAAGGGGTGCAGAGCTTCCATGCCCCCTTTGGGCACACAGCTCTCTAGGAACCTCCATGTGTTCAGATATCTGGAAGCTCACTGTCCTCGGGTTGTTATGGAAGCTTGATGATGTCAGCATTCCTTCCTCCAGCGACTAGGGTGAGACCCTCTCATGGGAGGCTCTTAAGACCCACAATCAGAAAGGCTGGGGAACATTATAGTAAAATCAGGCTAGGAAAAGATCAGAGGCCTATCCCTGAAGACTGATACATCCAACATTATAACAGAAGATTGTAACAAGGGCTATGGGAGTTATGAGCCAGGAACCATAGATGAAAACCAATATATATCATAACACCACACTTGGTACCAAGGCAAGGCTAGCCTCACATACTGAATTAGGAAGTGTTTCCTCCTCAATATTTTGGAAAAGTTTGAGAGGATTGGTATTAGTTCTTTCAATGTTTGTTAACATTCACCAGGGAAGCCATCAGGTCCATTGTTTTCTTTATTGGAACATGTTTCACTACTAATTTCTTCTTCTTACTGGCTAGAGTTATGTTCAGATTTCTTCATGGTTAATTCTTTGGAGGTATTATGTTTCTAGACATTTGTCCACTTCATCTCACTTATCCAGTTTTTTTATTATTATACTTTAAGTTCTGGGATATGTGTGCAGAATGTGCAGGTTACATAGGTATTCGTGTGCCATGGTGTTTTGCTGAACCCATCAACCCATCACCTACATTAGGTATTTCTCCTAATGATATCCCTCCCCTAGCCCCCCACCCCCCAACAGGCCCCAGTGTGTGATGTTCCCCTCTCTGTGTCCATGTGTTCTAATTGTTCAACTCCCACTTATGAGTGAGAACATGCAGTGTTTGGTTTTCTGTTCCTGTGCAGTTTGCTGAAAATGATGGTTTCCAGCTTCATCCATGTCCCTGCAAAGAACACGAACGCATTCTTTTTATGGCTGCATAGTATTCCTTGGTGTATATGTGCCACATTTTCTTTATCCAGTCTATCATTGATAGGCATTTGTGTTGGTTCCAAGTCTTTACTACTGTGAATAGTGCTGCAATAAACATATAGGTGTATGTGACTTCATTGTAGGATGATTTATAATCCTTTGGGTATATACTCAGTAATGGGATTGCTGAGTCAAATGATATGTCTGGTTCCAGATCCTTGAGGAATCACCATGCTGTCTTCCATAATGGTTGAACTAATTTACACTCCCACCAACAGTGTAAAAGCATTCTTATTTCTCCACATCCTCTCCAGAATCTGTTGTTTCCTGACTTCTTAATGATCACCATTCTAACTGACATGAAATGGTTTCTCATTGTGGTTTCGATTTGCATTTCTCTAATGACCAGTGATGATGAGCTTTTTTTTCTATATGCTTTTTGGCCACATAAATGTCTTCTCTTGAGAAGTGTCTGTATCATTCCTATACACCAATAATAGACATACAGAGAAGCAAATCATGAGTAAACTCCCATTCACAATTGCTACAAAGAGAATAAGATACCTAGGAATACAACTTACATGGGATGTGAAGGACCTCTTCAAGAAGAACTACAGACCACTGCTCAATGAAATAAAACAGGACACAAACAAATGGGAGAACATTCCATGCTCAGGGATGGGAAGAATCAATATTGTGCAAATGGCCATACTGCCCAAAGTAATTTATAGATTCAGTGCTATCTCCATCAAGCTACCATTGACTTTCTTCACAGAATTGGAAAAAAAAAACTACTTTAAATTTCATATGAAACCAAAAGAGAGCCTGCATAGCCAAGAGAATCCTAAGCAAAAAGAACAAAGCTGGAGGCATCACACTACCTGAATTCAAACTATACTATAAGGCTACAGTAATCAAAACAAACAGCATGGTACAGGTACCAAAACAGATATATAGACCAATGGAACAGAACAGAGGCCTCAGATATAATGCCACACATCTACAACCATCTGACCTGACAAAAACAAACAATGAGGAAAGGATTCCCTATTTAATAAATGGTGTTGGAAAACTGGCTTGCCATATGCAGAAAACTGAAACTGGAACCCTTCCTTACACCTTATACAAAAATTAACTCAAGATGGATTAAATAATTAAACGTAAGACTTAAAACCATAAAAACTCTAGAAGAAAACCTAGGCGATAACATTAAGGTCATAGGCATGGTCAAATAATTCATGACTAAAACACTAAAAGCAAGGCAACAAAAGCCAAAATTGGCAAATGGGATCTAATTAAACTAAAGAGCTTCTGCACAGCAAAATAAACTATCATCAGAGTGAACAGGCAACCTACAGAATGGGAGAAAATTTTTGCAATCTGTCCATCTGACAAAGGACTAATATTCAGAGTCTACAAAGAACTTAAACAAATTTACAAGAAAAAAAAAATCTCATCAAAAAGTGAATGAAAGATTTCTTTATTTCTGTAGATTATTTAGTAATGCCCCCACTTTCCTTTGTGATTTAATAATTGTAGCCTTTCGGTTTTTTTCTTTGTCCATCTAGCTAAAGTTTTGTCAATTTGTTGATGTTCTTGAAGAATCAACTTTTGGCTAAATTAAACTTTTCTAGTATTTTTCTATTGTTTATTTATTTTATCTCTGCCCTAATCTTTATTATTTCCTTCTACTGACAGATTTGTGTATAGTTTGTGCTTCTTTTTCCAGTTTTGTAAGTTGTAAACTTAGGTTGATGATTTGAGATTTTTCTTATTTTTAATGTAAGCATTTATAGCTATAAATGTTTTTAGCACTATTTTTACCATCTTCTATAAGTTTTGGTATGTGTGTTTTTTGTTTTCATTACTCTATGCAATTTCTAATTCCATTTGTGTTATTTTATTTGATCTAGTGGTTGTATATCTTGAGATACATTCCATCAATACCTAGTTTATTGAGAGTTTTTAGCATGAAGGGCTGTCGAATTTTGTCGAAGGCCTTTTCTGCATCTATTGATATAATCATGTGGTTTTTGTTGTTGCTTCAGTTTATGTGTGATGGATTACATTTATTGACTTGCATATGTTGAACCAGCCTTGCATCCCAGGGATGAAGCTGACTTGATCATGGTGAATAAGCTTTTTGATGTGCTGCTGAATTCAGTTTGCCAGTATTTTATTGAGGATTTTTGTATCAATGTTCATCAGGGATATTGGCCTAAAATTTTCTTTTGTTGTTGTGTCTCTGCCAGGTTTTGGTAGCAGGTAGAGGTTGTATATCTTATTTAATTTTCACAAATTAGTGAACTTACCTGTTTTTCTTCTTTTATTGATTTCTAACTTTAATTTATGGAGAAGATACTTTGTGTGATATCTATCTTTTTAAATATACTGATCCATAATTTGTGGTCTAATATATGCTTTATCCTGGAGAATTTCCATATAAACTTGAGAAGAATGTGCATTCTGTTTCTGTTTGGTAGAGGGTCTTGGTATATATCTGTTAGATCTACTTGACTTTTGTGTTGTGTGAGTCATTTATTTCCTTCTGCCTGGTTGTTCTATCATTATTAAGAATGGGGTATTGAAGTCTTTAATTAATATTGCAGTACTATTTCTTCCTTCAATTCTGTCAATTTTTAAAATATATTTTGCTGATCTGTTATTAGTAGCATAAATATTTATAATTGTTATATCATCTTTCTGTACTGAAATTTTCATTAGCATATAGTGTTCTTCTTTGTCTCTTATAAGCCATTTTGACTTAAAGTCTATTTTGTCTCGTATTAATGTATTCAACCCTCCTTTCTTTTGGTTACTATTTGCATGGAATATCTTTTTCCATTCTTTCACTTTCAATCTAGAATGTCTTCGACTCTAAAGTGAGTCTCTTGTAGGCAGGATATAATTGGGTCCTTTAAAAAATTTACTTATCCCATCTATGTGTTTCATTTGGAGAGTGATATAGAAGAATTCAGTTGTTATTTTATTATTTGTTTTCTATATGCCTTATAGTTTACTTTTTATCTGTTGTTTAATGTATTACTGTCTTCTTTTGGTTTTGGTTGACTTTTTATAGTGACATGTTTGAATCTCTTTTTTATTTCTTGTTAGTGTCTATTCTATAGAGTTTTGTGGCTATAATGAGGATCACACTTAAACTTCTAAAGTTATAAGATTCTAATTTGAATTAAAATTACCTTTTTCAGTCATAGATGTCACAAAATTACATCTTTATATGTTGTGTGTGTGTCCAAAAAATAAACTAATACTTGTGTTTTAATCCATTAGTGTTTTAACTTTCGTAGAAAATTTTAAAATTGCAGTTGTAAAGCATTGTTACAATAAGGCTAGCTATGATAATTGCCTGTATATTTACCTTTACTGAAACCATTATTTCTTCGTGTGGCTTCATGTTTCAACTAGCAGGAGTTTCTTTAGAATTTCTTATAGGACATGTCTTCTGGTAATGAATTCCCTAAGCTTTTGATTGACTAGGGATGTCTTAAATTTCCTCTTAGTTTTGCTGCATATAGGATTCTTGTTTGACAGTTTTTTTCCTCATAGTAGCTGCGTACTTCAGCCTACTGCCTTTAACCCTCTAATGTTTCTAATGAGAAATCTGCTTAAAATCTTGGTGCAGAGACCTTGTATATGACAAGCACTTCTCTCTCACTGTTTTCATGATTCTTTGTCTTTTAAAAATTTGATTGTAATGTGTCTGTGTTAGTCTATTTGAGTTCATCCTACTTGGAGCATGTTAAGCTTCTTCTACATGCATTTCTTCCCACTTGCTGACAGACTCAGAAGGTATAATTTTTGCATATGTAAAAAGGACAGGCATTGTTTTATTTCTTACTTGACATATGGAATCGTTCAAAGTCACCACCACGCATTCATCATCAGCACTGAACATAGTAATAGCCAGAGGTTGTATCAGACATTCACAAGTATGTCTTTAGTCACTGTGTTCAAAATGTTTGCAACAGCATATATGGCACCCTACATGTTTAACTCCTTTTGAAAACCTTCCATATCCACACCTCTGTTCACTGCTGCTGCCTGTGCTGCTCAAAAAATAGTGTTCTTTTTACATACTCTTTGTTCATCTAAGGATACCCTTGTCACATGGCTAAATTAAAAAGTCATTTTTGAGGGAAAGTACATGGAATAAATGTTATTTTTAGTAAGAATTTTTGCCAGAGGATGAGTAGAACAGAAGAAAGGAGTAACAAAATCTTGCAGTTGTCTGGCTTCCCTGAAGAAAGCATGAGCTGCTGGTACAAAATATTTGTGAAACCCATGAGAAAAGATGTTCATAATGATCCATGCCATTGTGCAATAATAATGGACTGGTAAAAATTTACTTCTTGAAAAGAGTGAGGATTCCAGCTTTTGCCTATCACAGCACATTTAGACTTATACATGCTTTGCATTAGCACATCTCAGCATGCATATTCTGTTCTCAGTATTCTTAATGCCCATAGGGGGTATCTCATCAACCATAGTTATTCTATTTCTGGGGCAGTAATATCAAAACAGTGATGTTTTATCAGCATTATTGATCTGTTCTAGTATCAGATTTTTATCAATAATAACCTTAGCAAACTACTCAATGATATTTTCTGGTGCTTCATAATTAGTAGATTCCTTATTGCCACAAAACTTTAAAAATGTAATGTCATGTCTTCCCATAAACTCCTACAACTAGCCTGTTGAATATTCACAATTCCCTTCAATTTCAGTCCACTATTTGTTTGTTTGCTTACTTCATGATCAGCATATGATTAAGTGGCATGTGTTCACTGCAACATAAATGGATTCACTCTTTCAATACATAATCAAGATTTTTTAGATTTATGCAATTTTTTTTAATTTTCATTAACTCCTGTTTATCATTTCAGCATAGAAATTTAACAGTTTATCTTTCTGTTTTCTTCAAGTCATCTACGGTGGTCATCCCAATACCATACTCTTTTGTATGATGTTTCATACTTACATCACTGTCCAGTCTTCCCAACAGCCTTACTTTCTGTGTTATCGATAAACACAAACGTTTCTTATTTTTCTTCTAGTGGTTACTGATAGTGGTATCAACAGATCTTTTTGACATTTTTAGCAATATCTTTACATCACAGAGCAGAGAACAAGCAAAAATCCACAGCAAATAATGCATGTATGTCTTGGCCCCTTGTGTGGCATTTGGGGAAACTTCCATTGCTGCATCTAGCCTGCACACTGATATTTTATTAGTATTTGTGGCTATGCTTGTATGGGGAAATCCGAGGATACATGGAAAAGATATATCATAGATGAAGGAGAGAAGGGGACTTGGAAGATTTTCTTTCCCTTAGGGACACTAAAGAAACTGTGTGAGTGCACATACATTTTGACTGCAAACTATCACAGAAGGTCAGTTGTAAAATTTTCTACTCGTGGCATCATGTTGGTGCTCAAAAATTTTAGATGTTTGAGAAGTTTGGATTTCAGATGTTTAAATTAGAGATGCTCAACCTCTAAGAGAATAATCTGAGTAATTGTATATCAAAAAATGGAATAACTTACAGGAATAAATGAATTCCTAGACATATACAACCTACCAAAACTGAATAATGAAGAAAAAGAAAGTATGAACAGAGCAATAACTAAGGAGATTAAATCAGCAATGAAAATGTTTTTCATGAAAGAAAAGCCAAGAACTTGATGGCTTCACTGCTAGCTTCTACCAACCCTTAACAAAACAAAACATGACTAATACCAATTTTCAAAAAAAAAGTTTTACAAAAAAATCAAAGAGGTAGGAATATTTTCTAACTCTTTTCATGAGACCGAATTACCCTGATGCTAAAGCCAGATGAGGGCATCAAAAGAAAAGTAAACTATAGGCCAACATTCTCAATGAACACAGATGCATACATCCTCAACAAAATACTAGCAAGCCAAATTCTATAACATGTTGAAAGGACACACTTTAAAAGCAGTGATAACTTTACTTATTCTTTTCCTGTTTGCATACTTTTAATTTCCTTTTCTTAAATGCTCTGACAAGGATTTCTAATACTATGTTAAATAGAAATGGTGACAATGGGCATCTTCTGCTGTTTCGGATCTTAAAGAAATTCAAATTTTTCATCACTGGGTATTACATAAGCTGTTGGTTTGTTCTCTATGGCTTTTATTGTATTGAAGTACATTTCTTCCATAGCTAATTTGCTGACTATTTTTATCATAAGACAATCCTGCCAGTCAGCATAAAGACTTAAACCTAAAACCTAAAACTGTAAAACTACTAGAGGAAAACATAGGGGATAAAACTACATGACCTTTGTCTGGGCAATAATTTTTTATTTAGCTTTGACCTCAAGAGTGTAGGCAACAAAAGCAAAAATAGACAAATGGGATTACATTAGAATAAAAACCTTCTCCATAAGAAAGGAAAATATTAACAGAGTAGAGTATATATTAGTCCATTTTTATTGCTATAAAGACATACCTGAGGCTAGGTAATTTATAAAGAAAAGAAGTTTATTTGACTCACAGTTCTGAAGGCTATATAAGAAGCATGTCACCAGCATCCGCTTCTGGTGAGGGCTTTAGGAAGCTTTCAATCACAGAGAAAGGCAAAGGGGAAGAAAGTGTGTCATGCAGTGACAGAGCAAGAAAGAGAGAAGGAAAAGAGGGAGGTCCCAGACTTTTAAACAATCAGATCTCATGTGAACTAATTGAGGAAGAACTCACTCATTACTAAGGGTTGGGTACCAAAGCCGGTCCATAAGGCATCTGCCTCCATAACACAAATACTTCCCAGCAGAATCCACTTCTAACCTGAGATTTGGAGAGGACAAATATTCAAATTATATCAAGAGATAACCTACAGACTGGAAGAAAATATTTGCAAGCCATACATTTGATAAGGAATTAATATCCAAAATACATAAGGAACTTAACTCTACAGAAGAAAAAACAAATAATCCAATGAAGAAATGGACAAACTATCTAAATAGACATATTTCAAAAGAAGATATACAAATGATTAACAGATACATTAAATAATGCTCAACATCACTAATCATTAAAGAGAAGCAAATTAAAACCACAGTGATATATTACTTTACATGTGTTAGAATGTCTCTTATCAAAACAAAACAAAAACAAAATATAACAAGTTGGTAAGGATGTGGTAAAAAGGGGACCCTTGTACATTGGAAGTGGGAATGCAAACTAGTACAAGTATTACGAAAAACTCTATGAAAGTTTCTCAAAAAACTAAAAATAGAATTACCATATGTGATTCAGCAATCCCATTTCTGGGTATTTACCTGAGAGGTCTGAAATCAGTATGTTAAACATACATCTGCAAACCCGTGTTTATCACAGTGCTATTCACAATAGCTGAGTTATGACATCAACCTAAGTGTTTATCACCAAATGAATGGATAAAGTAAATGTGGTAAATATACACAATGGAATAATATTTAACCATAAAAGAATTCTGTAACTTATGAAAACATGGATAAAATTGGAAAACCTTATGCTAAGTGAAATAAGGCAAACATTGAAACACAAGAGCTACTGGTTCTCACTTATATGTGGAATCTAAATCAAACTCATGGAAACAATGAGTGGAATAGTGGTTACCAGGGTCTGGGGGGTATGGTAGGGAGAATGGAATGAAAATAAAAAGGTAGAAAATTTCAGTTATGTCAGAGAAATAAGTTTGATGTTTTTTGAGACCTACTGCACAGCACAGTGAATATAGCTAGTAGTTGGGTACTTACATTGCAATATTGTTAACACATATCAAGTGTTATCATCACATAAAACTGTCAAATATTTGAGGTGATGGGCAAGTTAGTTGCTTGATTTAATGATTTGGCATTGCATCAAAAAGTGATAACTTCACTTTTTACCCTATAAATATATCCAACTATAATTTACCAAAAAATATATTTTTACAATGTTAAAATACCCTTTTTGTAGAGATTGTGGGGGTTCACTTTGGGTGCAGTATTTGCAGGGAGTCCAGGTTCATGTCTTCCACTACTGTGATAGAACATATCGCTGCTTTTAAACAACAGATATTTTTTTCTTTTTTCTTTTTTATTATACTTTAACTTCTGGAGTACATGTGCAGAACGTGCAGTTTTGTTACGTAGGTATACACAAAATACCCTTTAAAAATAAAATCTTCTAGACTTTTTTTAAAATAGGTCCACCATCTGCTCTTTCTTTGAGAGTTTCTATTGGTTTATTTTTTTTTTCCTTTGAATATCCATCCTTTACTTGTTTTTTGTTTTAGCAAGCTTTGTAATTTTTGTTGTTGTTAAAATTGGATGATTGAATCTAACAATGTGGTAACTCTGAAAATCGGATTCTCCCCATTCCCCAATGTTGTAGTCTGATTACATCTCAAGGTTCATCCTGAGGTGAAAACTGAAGTTCCTCTCAGGTCTTTTTTGAGCCCGCACCTTTCCCTGGGAATACACAGTGACTCTCTAATTTCTTCAAGATACACAATTGATTTTAATGTCCTAGTCAATAATGGCTTCCAAAATGGGAAAAGGAGAAACATTAAAGAGGAAAGAAAGACTCCAGCTCTATAATTCCCCTGGAAGTAGGAGGAGGGTGTTCAATAATGGTTGCTGTCTTAGTGTATGATATGGTTTGGCTGTGTCCCCGCCAAAATCTCATCTTGAATTGTAGTTCCCATAATCTCCATGTGTCGTGGGAGGGGCCCAGTGGGAGAGTAACTTAATCATGGGGCAGTTTACCTCATGCTGTTCTCATGAATGTGAGTTACTACTCATAAGATCTGATGGTTTTATAATGGACTTCTCCCCCTTTTGCTTGGTACTTCTCCTTGCTGCTGCCATGTGAAAAAGGATGTGTTTTCTTCCCCTTCTGCCATGAGTGTAACCTTCCTGGGGCCTCCCAGCCATGCTGAACTGTGAGTCACTTAAATCTCTTTCCTTTATAAATTACCCAGTCTTGAGTATGTATTTATTAGGAGCATGAGAATGGGCTAATACAATAAATTGGTACCGGTAGAGTGCCGCTATAAGGACACCTGGAAATGTGGAAGTGACTTTTGAACTGAGTAACAGACAGAGGTTGGAACAGTTTAGAGGATTCAGAAGAAGAAAGGAAAATGTGGGAAAGTTTAGAACTTCCTAGAGACTTGTTGATTGCCTTTGACCAAAATGCTGACAGTGATATGGACAATGAAGTCTAGGCTGAGGTGGTCTCAGATGGAGATGAGGAACTTGGGAACTGGAGTAAAGGTCACTCTTGCTATGCAAAGAGACTGGCCGCTTTTGGTTCATGCCCTAGAGATCTGTGGAACTTTGAACCTGAATGAGATTATGTGGGGTCTCTAGCAGAAGAAATTTCTAAGGGGTGAAGTGTCCAAGAGGAAGCAGAGCATAAAAGTTTGAAAAATTTGCAGCCTGATGATGTGATAAAAAAGAAAAACCCATTTCCTGGGGAAAAATTCAAGCCAGATGCAGAAATTTGCATAAGTAACAAGGAGCTGAATGTTAATCATCAAGACAATAATGAAAATGTCTCCAGGGCATGTCAGAGACCTTCATGGCAGGCCCTCCCATCATAGGCCTGGAGGCCTAGGAGGGAAAAGTGGTTTTCTGGGCTGGGTCCAGGATCCTGCTGTTGTGTGCAGGCTCGAGAAAGCATCCAGCTGCTCCAGCTATGGCTAAAAGGCACCAAGGCACAACTGAGAATGTTGCTTCAAAGGGTACAAGCCCCCAGTTTTGACATCTTCTATGTGGCATTGGTCCTGTGGGTGGGAAGAATATAAGAATTGAAGTTTGGGAACCTCCACCTAGATTTTAGAGGATGTATGGAAAGGCATGTGCGTCCACAGTGGAGCCCTCATAGAGAACCTGTGCTAAGGCAGTGAAGAAGGGAAATGTGGGTTCAGAGCCCCCATACAGAGTTCCCCACTAAAGCACTGCCTAGTAGAACTGTGAGAAGAGGGCCACCATCCTCCAAACCCCAGAATGGGACATCCACTGACAGCTTGCACCATGTGTCTGGACAAGCCACAGACACTCAATGCCAGCCCATGAAATCAGCCAGGATGGGAGCTGTACCCTGCAAATCCTCAGAGGCAGAGCTGTCCAAGGCTGTGGGAGCCCACCTCTGGAATCAGCATGACCTGAATATGAGACCTGGAGTCAAAGGAGATTATTTTGGAACTTTAAGATTTAATGACTGCCCTATTGGATTTCAGACTTGCATGGAGCCTGTAACTCCTTTGTTTTGGCCAATTTCTCCCATTTGGAATGGGTGTATTTACCCAATGCCTGTATTCTCATTGTATCTAGGAAGTAACTAACTTGTTTTTACAGGCATTGGCAGAAGAGACTTGCCTGTCACAGATGAGACATTGGATTTGGACTTAGAGTTAATTCTGAAATGAATTAAGTCTTTGGAGTAATTGTTGGAAAGGCATGATTGGGTTTTAAAATGTGAGGATGTAAGATTTCAGAGGGGGCAGGGGCAGAATGATATGGTTTGGCTGTATACCCACCAAAATCTAATCTTGTAGTTCCCATGATCGCCACATATCATGAGAGGGACCCCGTAGGAAGTAATGTAATCAGGGGGGCAGTTAGTCTTATACTGTTCTCATAACAGTGAGTGAGTTTTCACTAGATCTGATGGTTTTATAAGGGACTTTTTCCCCTTTTGCTCAGCATTTCTCCTTGCTGCCACCATGTGAAGGACCTGTTTGCTTACTCTTCTGCCATGATTGTAAGTTTCCTGAGCCCTCGCCAGCCATGCTGAACTGCAAGTCAATTAAACCTCTTTTCTTATAAATTACCCAGTCTCAGGTATATCTTTATTAGCAGTGTGAGAATGGACTAATACAGTCTATTTGGGCTACTATAACAAAAATATCATAAATTGGGTGGTTTATAAACAACATAATTTAATTTTTCAGAGTTTTGGAAGCTGAGAACACTAACATCATGGCCCTGGCAGATTTGATGTCTGGTGAGGGGCTTCTTCCTCATAAGTGATGAAAGCAGTGACAGATCTCTCTTGGACCTCTTTTACAAGGCAGTTATTCCATTCTGAAGTCTTTACCCTCAGGACCAACTAACCTCTCAAAAGCCCCACCTCCAAATATTATAACCTTAGAGATTAGGATTTCAACATAAAAATTTTCGGCAACACAAATATTATAACATTCCACTTCTGGACTCCCAAATTTTATGCTCTTCATACATGCAAAATGCATTCATTTCATCCCACTAGGCTCAAAAGTCCTAACTCGTTCCATTATCAACTTAAAAGTTTGACGTATTATCTAAATATTTTCTAACTCAGATATGGGTGGGACTTAAGGTATCTTTAATTTTGATGCAAATTGATCTTGAGTTGTAAAACTCTGAAATTAAACATGTTGTATAAGATGGGCAAAAAAATAGGCACTGTCATTCCAAAAGAGAGAAACAAACAACAAAAAAAGAAATGACAGATCTCAAGCAGATCTAAAACCTAACATTCAATCTTAACAATTAAGAATAATCTTATCTGACTATCTTCTTTGGCTTGATGCTCTGCCTTTGGCCCACTAATGGCTGTAGATCCACTTTCAGGCCCACTGCAGTGGAGACCCTGGACCTACAGCTTCTGTGTAGGAGTAGGGCTCATGGTTTTGCTGAGTGAAGGCCACATCACAGCTCTCACAGGTTGGAGTAACATGCCTACAACTTTTCCATGCTGGAATTACTTGCTGAGAGCTCTACAGATTTGAGGTCCTGGAAGTGGCCCTGCCACCACAGCTCCACTGGGAATAGCACTTGCAGCATTATGGCCTGCTGGAGCCACCCCTGGGGCAGTGGAGGAACACGGCTGTAAAGGGTAAGAAGTGAAGCCCATGATGTGAAGCAGGGCTGGGCAGCAGCTTCCTCTCTGTTGTAATTCTTCAGCTCTTGATACCCCCTTCTTTGTATCAATTTTTTAGTCCATTCAGGCTGTTATAACCATATATGCCCAAACTGGGTAGTTTATGGACAACAAAAATTTATTTGCACATTTCTGGAGCAGTCCAACATCATGGCACCACCAGAATGGTGTCTGGTGAGGGACAGTTCCTCATAGACAGTGCTTTATTGCTTTGTCTTCACATGATGGAAAGGGTGAGGGGTCTGTCTCATGCATTGTTTATAGGAACACTAATCCCATTCATGAGGATTCCACCCCCATGACCTAATCACCACTGAAATTTCCCACCTCTTAGTACTATTATTTTAAGTAATACGTAGGATTTCAACATATGAATTTTAGAGGAATACAAACCTTCAGATTACAGCAGTTTCCCATCTCTATATCTATACCTCTTTAATGAGAGGCAGCAGTCAATGATCAGAACACAGATCCCTGATTTTGGGGGAACAGAGTCCTTATTGCCCACTGTGGCTCCTGCAAGCTATGCAAGCTGCTCCAGGAACATGTGTGCAGCCACTTACCATGGGGTATGGGTGCAGAGGATGATGAGGGCTGTAAACTAAGAGCTGAAATTGACTGAATTAACCACAATTTTATATCCAAACGTTCCCTTAGAAGTTGCAAAGCATCAATAGACTCCATGGTTCCAAAATAGTTATATCAGACAAACTGCCAGTGCAATTACTTTCTATGTGGTTAAACAGATTCCTGGTACTTCCTACTCTTCCATCTTCCCAGGACTCTGTTGCTTCTTTTTCCCTTTTTTACCTTAGAACATCATGCTCAGTTAACCAACTTCACAAATTACTGTGGATCAAGCTTTTTTGGCTGTCCATTTTGTTATAGTAATTATGACATCTTGACTTCTGATGATTAAGCATTAGCACTTGACACTCATTAATTTGAAGCCCTGTCAACTCCATCAATATTAATGAGCCTAGCTCTTCATTGCTTTACCTACCATCAGGCAGGACCGGTGGAGGAAAACCGCCAATCTTCCTAGCAACACTATCACCCATCTCACCAACACAATTCTGGTGGACTTCCTGAATGGTGTATCTTCTGAGCCCCCTCATGGAACATAAATTTTGTTGCATCACAGTTGACTATCAAGTGAGACTACCATTTATTGCTTAGAGAGAGGGAAAGTACAGTTCCTCAAAAAGAAGTTAATTAAATGTTGAGATTATTTTTAAAACTCATGACAGACTACAGATTTAAATCAAAAGCATTTTTGTTTGCATAGCACAACACTATGAAAGAGAAGATTCACTTCAGAATTTTAAAACTTGGCCCAGTGTATTCTGATCAAAGCTTGAGTGCACTGACACATAACCTTATATCATAGTATATAAGGTTAAAAAAAGATAATATAATGGCATAAACATTTGTTTCATCCTACAGTGGCCAACCAAGAAGGTATTTTGTGATTTAATATGACTGGGAAATGAGAGCAAGTGTAAGTCCCTGCTGCCTATCGTCCTCTTAGGAAACAAACCAAAGAGAATTAATACAAACCCCTAGATAATTCTGGAAATGTGAGAGGAGGTTTATTTCATATTATTGATTTGAGTTTCTGGCAAGAGGCAATTTCCAGTTACCCATACCAAATATCATTACCACAATATTATAATGAAGACAGAGAATTAGATACCCAAACTCATCTTACGCCTTCAAATATTCTTTCTGCTTCTACAGGGTAGGGAGAATATAAAAAAAACATATCCAAATGAAGCATAAAATACTACTCAGAGTTGAGAGTTAGATGCTTGTCAGGGAGTGTTAGTAGCAAAACGTGAAGAAGCTGTAGACTTGAGAATGTGAAATAGATGGGCAAAGTGGGAGCTGATCAATGGTAAGTATGGGACTCAGAGACCAGTAGTGGCAGCAATAGCTGAGGTTGGAAGCTGAGTCAATAGGAATAGATTACTTAATTCTTCATATTTAACACCATGGATTGTTTATGTTAAAAGGAGAGAGATAGTGATCACTACTCACTATACATATCTGCCACAATACCTGCGGCATAATGTATCGTGTTCACAATACATATATGCCACAATACCTGTCAATGTTGAAAGAACATAAGAACAATGAACAAGAAAATGCTGAATTTAACTAAGCCCCTATCTAGTCATAGATCTGAATCTAATAGTTAAAATACTTGGTTGAGGTGAATTGGCAAGATCGAATTGTTATTAGAAATGGGGTTTTTTGTAGAGTAAAATTTTATAAAATTTCATATTTGTGCAATTCTATAGTCTACAAAACATTGCTTCACATGTTTAGCAAAAGATATATGAAATGGAAACAGTCTGTTGTTGATTTTAAACACTGCCTATACTATTGAAAGAGAGAAAACTAGCTTTCGAGAGATACTTTTACTAAAATGCTACAAAAGCTAATTTAATATTATATTTTTATTAAAATATACATAACATATAAAGTAAATGCTATATCACTGGCTACAGTAGAATAGCTTGTGGCAGAACATTATTGCTGGTAAGAACTAGAAAAGTAAGAAGAAAAAAATAGAGGGAGAGAAGAAAGGAGGGAAGTAAAGAAGAGGTAAGGAAGGAAGGAAGCAGAGAAGGAGGGAAAGAGGGCAGGAGGGAAGGAGGGAAGGTGGGAAGGAGGGAAGGAAGGAAGGAAGGAACGAAGCAAGTGAGGGAGGGGAAGGGAAGAAAAGAAGGAAGGCAGGTAGGCCAAGCGCATGTTTTGAGGGCACCTAAGAGCTACTGAGGCAACCAGGACTTGAAAGCCTAGAGCAAAGGAAATAAGGAAATATAAATGTGAATCAAAATTTTCTGAGTAGCTGTCCCCACATGGATTGTGCTTAATTTTGAGTAAGGTATATGTCTGAAAACTCTGAAATAATATCACACTTAAAATATGGAAAAGCCAACAAAATTTAGGAAAAGATCATAGTGCTGATGTCAAAAATGGATTTTAGACATTTTCAGGTAACAGCACTGGAGGGGACATGATCCAGAAAGAGAGAAGTGAGGAACCTGTCTCAGCAAGTTTTTCCCCTCAAAGCATTAGCTGATTTCTTAATGTGCTGAGAGCCAGACATTAAGAACGAAAGCAAAAAGTCAATAAAAAGCACACCAGAATTTTTGCAGTCTCACATTGCTGAGAAGATAAAAATTGGAGTTCAGCACTTATACACTGTTGGTTGGAATGAAAATTAGTCTAGCCACTGTGAAAAGCAGACTGGAGATTTCTCAAAGACCTTAAAACAGAGCTACAATTTGACCCAGCAATCCCATACCTATGTATATAGCCAAAAGAAAATAAATCATTCTACCAAAACACATATGCTCTCCTATGTTCGTTGCTGCACTATTCACAGTGGCAAAGACATGAAATCAACCCGGGTGCCCATAAAAGGTAAATGTAATAAAGAAAATGTTGTACATATACACCATGGGTTACTATACGGTCATAAAAAACAAATAAAATCACATCCTTTCCAGCAACATGGATGAAGCTGGAGGCCATAATTCTAAACAATTTGATGCAGGAACAGAAAACCAAATACTTTGCATGTTGTCATTTATAAGGGGGAGCTAAACATGGAGCACATACGAACATAAATGTGGAAACAATAGACGCTGTGGACTACCAAATGGTGGAGGGAGAGGCTGGGTTAAGAAATCTTCCATTAGCTACTATGCTCACTACGTGAGTGTGGGATCCATATTCCAAACCTCAGCATCATGCAGTATTCCCTTGTAACAAATCTACACATGCACTTCCTGTATCTAAAATAAAAGTAGGAAAAAAAATGGAGTTCAGGACCTGTCAAAAAGGAAGGCCTCTACTAACTATGCCAAATTCCACTTGGGACCTAGTGAGACTTAATCTTAAGAATATCAAGAAATGTGAAGGGACTAAGATTTTACCTGATAAGGAAGCCTGCTATAGTTTCACAGATGCTGCCAGAATACATGAGACTCCTGAATTAGAGACAAAACTTTATTACTCACAGCACAGCAGACAGTGCATTAGCTTTGGTTACTATTTCCCTGTAAGTCACATAGGAGCAATATAAAATCAGGTGCAGGGAGACGAAACAGTGTGTCTATGCCACAAGTGAGAATTATTAAGCTTAGAGTGCTGCCAGTCTTCTAAGGGACTTAATGGCAAACTTGCCTAACTTTTGCCTTTAAGTGAAATAGTGCCAATATTATTCTGAGCAGAAAAAAACAACAAATAAGCAAACAAAACATCTACTGATTTTTAGCCTGGCGAGAAAAACTAACTTTATCTTCCAGGACTATTTTCTACACAAACATACTTAAAAATACAGTTTGGAAGAAAACTGTCATTAGACATGCAGAAATGCCATGGAGTGAAACAGAAGTAAACTGATCCTTACAAAACTGACAAGGCAAGTTCAAGGCAGGTCAGTCTCTGACTGTACTAAGATGATGTCCCCCAACACAGGCCACCTATTAAAAAATAAGATGACCTCTCACTGGAGAAAGAAAGCATAATCTGGCAACATGCAATTTTTTATACAAAATGTCTAGAGTGAAGATTATCAGGCATACAATTAGACCAGAAGAAAAAAAGAACCATAGATACAGATCTAAAAATGACCTCGTTTTTATATTTAAAGCCAATATTGCACAGTACAAACTTTTCGCTTTCATTGTTTTGTTTAAATATCCCGGTTACTTTTGATTTATAGAATGCAAATGAGGAATCACAGTAATTTATTAGTTGGCAATTTTCTTCCTTTGGGTAAATATTTATGTTTGTTATATGTTTGTTATGCCTTGTTATATTTATTTAAAACTAAAAAAAATTATCTAAGGTATGAATGAAATAGTCTTTATATACATAGTATACACATTTTGGGAAACTCCTTTCTTTTTTTTTTTTTGAGATGGAGTCTTGCTCTGTCTCCCAGGTTGCAGTGCAGAGGCACGATCTCTGCTCACTGCACCCTCTACCTCCCAGGTTAAAGCTATTCTCTGCCTCAGCCTCCCAAGTAGCTGGGACTATAGGCACCCACCACCACACCCGGCTAATTTTTGTATTTTTAGTAGAGATGAGGTTTCACTATGTTGGCCAGGCTGGTCTTGAACTCCTGACCTCGTGATCCACATGCCTCGGACTCCCAAAGTGCTGGGATTACAGGTGTGAGCCAGTGCACTAGGCCTTGGGAAACTCCTTTCTAGGCAGACAATATCAGCAATTAAGCTTATTATCTATTCTGAAAGTATTAATTTAAAAAATATAAGTTCACCATATAGGAAATATTATATTAAATGTAAATGTTGAAAGCTATCATAACAGAAACACTAAATGCAAAAAACTGCCTTTGGTATTTTGAAAGATAAAAAGAATAACATGCTTTCCAAGAGATTGTATTATTTTATAAATGTCACAAAATATATGTAAACAAAAAAAATCATGCATGTGGGAAAATACCAATAGGTTAACAAAGGAAGAAGAAAACTTGAAAATATTGAAAGGCATATTTTAAGATGACATGAATTTAAATATTTATTATGATTATAAACATAAAGTGATAAAATTCAATAGTAAAATATTAAAAGTTAGATTGAGCTAAAAAGTCTTTTTTCTGTCTGTGTGGGCTCTTGTAGGCCTAAATTAAAATTCCTATCTACATCAGAGTTTTAAATATCTTTAAGAACTAAGTTTTCCTGTACCCACCATGTACGCAGTACTTGTCCTGGGTGTCTCCAATTCTAAACTCTAGGCTCACATTTTGCCAAGGTGAAAGAAGGGCCCACAATTATCTCTTGGCCAAAATTACCATATATATTCATTGTAATTCCAATTTTACCTGCAAGAATATAAATTTGAGGTATGGATATTTCATAATGCATAAGTAAAATTGCTAAATTCTATTTGGGACATTTAAAAAAGCATATCAGCAATTACAACTGTATAAATGGAATCAATTTATCTACATTCAAAGTGTGTATGTTCCCTTCCAATAGACAATCAAGCAAACAGACATCTGATTAATTATTCCTGGTGGATGTTAAGGTAATTATTTATTATTTTCAAAACTCAAATAAAGAAAAAAGCAAGAATTTTCATTGCCTTCTTTAACAAAATATGTGAAAGTAGGGCAGGCATTTAGCGAGGAAACAGGACATGATTACTTGCAGGTGGCTCAAAGCAATACAAATAGGACCAAACACATTATCACAAAGACATGTCCCCTACTAGCAAAGAACTGTTGCAACAGGTTATAACAATGAAGACAGATTATAGATATCTTGTTTAGGCACAAATAAGAATATCCTAACAAAGAAAAAACTGCTAGTAGATAAATCCACAAGTGGTTAAATCCAAGATGGCTGAAAACTTGACTAGCTGCTGACCCTTGACTGCATTATGCTCCCATTACCATAATATTTCCATGGGGAAACCTCCTATTCCCATCATACACCTGGTGCCATAACAGTTTCAGATTAAACATATTTAGTAAGAAAAAAAGGATGGCACTGATTCTGGGAATTGCCCAATCAATTCCCAGAAAAGCCCTCCCTTTATTATAGAAAATTATCTGCCTTCATTATGCTAAAAGAAGGAATTAGTGTGTCCGGAATTGGTGGGTTCTTTGTCTCACTGACTTCAATAAAAAAAAAAAAAAGAGATACCATTTAACATTTGAAAGGTGGTTGCATGCAAACATTTAAAACTTGAGAGAACATGGTGCACCAGGGAGACTACTATTATGACTATCAGGAGGACAATATCAAGAGTTTGAATTATGCTCCTTGGCCAGGGTCCCCATAAACCAAATCACCTAAAATTAAATAGATCAAGGAACGAGCTGGATAAAGAGTCTGCTCGCTTTAACTAAGTAGACTGTTAATCCCCTACGAATGAATCTCTATCATACCTAATGTGATGTATTTTTCCATGGAAAACTAGTGCCAGTAGCTGCACAGATACTTCTCTGTTTAGCTAGTAAGTAATCTAGAGCAATTCTATTATTTAGAATAACTTTCACAAGACAATTTAAAGTCTGTTGTGCACCCATAGCCTTTATAGTAAAATCTGCTACAGAGCCTATTACGAGGCTAAATTTTTAATCATTGTCTCCTTTACTCCAAACTATGAGAAAGAAAAGACCTAAAAAACGGTTCCCTTTTAGAAGAGTAAAGACCTCCTGGAAACGTTCTCTTTAACCCATGTCTCTTTAACAGACAAATGTCTATTTCTTACTGATTATGAGACAGTGTGCGTACCAACAAAATATCTCACCTCCATTAGGCCTTCATCTTCCATCTATTAAGTCATAGAGTTATCCATGTATAAGGCTGGCTGTAAGAATCTTTACAAATAAAAGTATACCTTATAAGTCTGCACAACAGAGCTCCTTTCATTCCTATTGTTCATAGAGGCATAAGCAAGGGTAAAAACGGAAAGATAAGAGTATTATGATAGTGGAGAAATCTTGATCTTTATCTTGAGAAAAAGCTGTTCACATTAAGGATGCCTTGTTCTGTGGAAAAACTTTCCTGGTTAGCTTTACCTTAAGGTTTCCAATGGGTGTACTGTTCCAAGAGTGTGGAGAGACACTTCTGAGTTGTTAGATTATGAACCCAAGGTTCAAGGTCCTGAAGTTTTTCTGCAGTATGGATGGCAAGGGTAGTCTTTCTCTGATGTTCTCAGAAGATTCAATCTTCAGGTTCTCAGTTGTGAAGAGGGTTGATTGTCTTCAGTCAGTAAAACTTGAAAAGCTTTCTTTACCTGGTGAAAATACACTGTGTTATAATGAGCTACTGTTAAAACATCAGCCCTCTTGCATGAAAAAGCTTTTATACAACCAGAAGATATGCACTGAAAATGACTGAATGAAATCCTTCTATAAATATTTAAATGGTCCATCAGGTAGTGGAATGTACCTGAAGTTTTAATTATCTTCTCGGGAATATGGGTTTGACAAACCAAACATTGGTCATAAAGTACTTTAGCAATTTAGAAGTCACCATTCATATATATATATAAAGCTTTTCATATGTGTGTGTGTGTGTGTGTGTGTGTGTGTGTGTGTATAGCTCAAAGCTTTTAATAACAAAAGCTTTAAGGACTCAGAAAAGACAAGGCAGTCATCCTGGTTCTCATGAGTTCATGCTTAACATTGGACTTATGTCCTCTTGAATACCAGTTGTTTCTCCAATTAAGGTATGTAACACTGATGACTGATAGGTTATCATAGGTAATTTGACTTAGACCACGGAGTTCATTCAAATTGTATATCTAAACAATTTCATTATTGGTTGATTTACCATGAAAATCTGGGAAAGTATTTTCTTGTTATTCAATTAATTTTTTTTTTTCTGCTTGGGTTAGCAGTTTTATCAACCAGTCAGACTTTTCATTACAGTTTCAGGAATTCTTACCCAGTCCAAATGATATGATGCTAAAGTTATCAAATACCTGTATTCAAGGTTGCTTTTCAGGGTTCCTTTTATCCTTTCATGAACCTCCTTAAAGACATTGTATTCTTTTTTTTTTTTTTTTTTTTGAGATGGAGTCTTGCTTTGTCACCAGGATGGAGCGCAGTGGCATGATCTCGGCTCACTGCAACCTCCACCTCCTGGGTTCAAATGATTCTCCTGCCTCAGCCTCCCAAGTAGCTGGGACTACAGGCACATGCCACCACACCCAGCTAAGTTTTGTATTTTTAGTAGAGATGTGGTTACACCATGTTGACCAAGATGGTCTGAATCTCTTGACCTCCTGATCCGCTTGCTTCAGCCTCCCAAAATGCTGGGATTACAGGCGTGAGCCACCACACCTGGCCTATTTTAGGATTTAACATGCTTATGAAGGTTTCAGAAACATCAGAATTAAGCAATTAACTGTGGGATTGACTTTCAATAGTCAAAGACACAATTGACAAGAAAATTTGGTTATTTTTGTGGTCTACAATAACTTAATCACGTAATTATGATTGATAGCCTATACTCAGACATATTAGCATTTTAAAAATCTCATAGAATTTTGGATCATATTTTAATAACATTCATTAAAATATAACCTGAAGATTAAACATTATTTATTATTTGACAATGCTTCCCATTTAACTTAACACATCAAATCATCCTGTTTACCTCTCTTTTGGATGATTCAGGGGCCCTCTGCAGCATCCCAAATGTAGAGGTCAAAAATAATTAGTTTTGAAGCTGAAATTTGATTTTGAAAAGACTGTGTCAATTATGTCAAAGGTTTAAAACACTTGAACAAAAAAGGATCACAGATCACTGTAAAACAACAGTCATTCATTTAACAAGAGTGATAATGAAAAGATTTTTAAAAACAAAAACCTATAATGGACATAGAGTTTTCCAAATAATCAAAAGCCATAAGACAGCATGATGATACAGAATCTCTCTCTTCTTCTTTCCTCTCTTTTGCAGTTTGCTCAAAAGATGAATAAAAATATTTTGATGTGTCTTATTAATATTACATAAAATTTTTGTGCAAAATAGAAAACTGAATTTTGCTTTGTATTAGTGTATTATGAATATTAAAACTAATGTTAATAAAACCTCATAACTTTATTCAATTTGTCATTTTTAACCACACTAAAATTCTATAAACCTTTCACTTTACATTTTTCCTCAACTTCCTATATTCATCTTATTTTATCTGTTTTTTACTCCAGTGTGAAATCTTTAAGTAAATTTAAACCAGAAAAACACATTTTATGCCTTCATTACTTTCCTAATCAAATATATATTTTGCTTTTGTTTGTATACTCTGTATACAGAATTGTTTTTCTTATATCTAATAGTTTTAAACTCTTAGTAACTCTAATTTCTATTGAGAACACTAGAAAGTAATTTTTAACTGTTTTATATTTATGTTTGTAGATGAAAACAATTTTATAATTCTTTTAGAAAAATAATTCTTCAAATTATTGTTTATTAGCAGATCTAAATATATTTAGCTTTTCTTTTCCATATGAATATAAATTTCAAGGAATATAGAGCTAAACTAATATTTAATAATTAATATTTCAGTATCTTAACTTACAGATGACTCAGATTTAAGTGATTATCTATTACTTAATTTAATATAACATGACCGTAAGATTTTATTTATTTATTTATTTTTATTTTTATTTTTTGAGATGGAGTCTTGCTCTGTTGCCCAGGCTGGAGTGCAGTGGCACGATCTCGGCTCACTGAAACCTCCGCCTCCTGAGTTCAAGCACTTCTGCCTCAGCCTCCCAAGTAGCTAGGATTACAAGTGTGTGCCACCATGCCCAGCTAATTTTTGTATTTTTAGTAGAGATGGGATTTCACCATGTTGGCCGGCTGGTCTCAGACTCCTGTCCTCAGATAATCCGCCAACCTTGGCCTCCCAAAGTGCTGGGATTACAGGTGTGAGCCACTGCACCCAGACTATGACTTTAAGATCTTAAATTACAGAAAACGATTTTGAAGCCTTGACACTGGTAGCTTCCTTAATGTTTCCTCCCAGTAATTCTAGGTCCCAGATAGCCACATGTCACCCAGGATGACTTGAATGTAAAGGCCTAAGTCCATTAGGACAGAAGACAAAGCTGTGAAGACTACACATGGAGGATCTAAAACAGCCAGGAGACGAAACAGGGAAAGCAGAGGGAAAAAGGACCATTCTGGCTTGCAGGTGCTTGCACTAAGAACATGTCTCCAGACCTCATCATGGCCACCTATCCAGACCCCTGAATCCAGAGACTCTAAACCAAAGACAAAAACTTATAGTCAAATAAAACAAGTATCAAATTATATTTGGCTGATAATTTAGAAACCATTTCTATTATACCAACATTTTAAAAACTAGCTTTAAAAAGAGCCAAAATAGCCAGTGCAATTCTAAGCAAAAAGAAAAAACTGGAGACATCATGCCACCCAACTTCAAACTATACTACAGGTATATAATAACTAAAACAGCATGGTACTGATTCAAAAACAGACACACAGACCAATGGAACAGATTAGAGAACCCAGAAATAAGACCACACATCTACTACAACTATCTGATCTTTGACAAATCTAACAACAAGTAATGAGAAAAAGATTCCCTGTTCAATAAATAGTGCTGGGATAACTGGCTAGCCATATGCAAAAGATTGAAACTGGACCCTTTCCTTACACTATATATAAAAATTAACTTAAGATGAATTAAAACTTAAATGTAAAACCTAAACCTATAAAAACCCTGGAAGACAACCTAAACAATACCATTCAGGACACAGGCACAGGCATATACCTCATGACAAAGATGCCAAAAACTATTGCAAGGAAAGGAAAAATTGCCAAGTGGAATCTAATTAAACTAAAGGGCTTCTGCACAGCAAAAGAAACTATCAACAGAGTAAATAGACAACCTACAGAATGGGAGAAAATATTTGAAACTATGCTTCTGACAAAGGTCTAATAACCAGAATTTATAAGGAACTTAAACAAATTTACAAGAAAAAAAATGTACAAAAGTAGGCAAAGGACATGAACAGACAGACACTTTTCAAAAGAAGACATACATGCAGCCAAGGAGCATATGAAGAAAAGCTCAACATCACTAATCATTAGAGCAATGCAAACCCAAACCACTATGAGATACCTTATTATATCAGTCAGAATGACTATTATTAAAAAGTGAAAAAAATAACAGATTCTGGTGAGATTGTGGAGAATAAGGAACTTTTATACACTGTTGGTGGGAGTGTAAATGAGTTCAGCCATTGTGGGAGATAGTACGGTGATTCCTCAAAGACCTAAAGACAGAACTAGAGGTTGATCCAGCAATCCCATTACTGGGTACATACCCAAAGGAATATAAATTGATCTATTATAAAGACACTTGCATAAATACGTTCAACACAACACTATTCACAATAGCACGACATGGAATCAACCTAAAAAATGCCCATCAACAATAGACTGGATAAAGAAAATGTGGTATGTATACACTGTGGAATATTATGCAGCCATAAAAAAGAACAAGATCATATCCTTTGCAGGGATATGGATAGAGGTGGAGGCCATTATCCTTAGCAAACTAACTCAGGAACAGAAAACCAAATACTGCATGTTCTCACTTACAAATGGAAGCTAAATGATGAGAACACATGGAAACATAGAGGGAAAAAATAAACAATGGGACCTTCAGATGGTAGACAGTGGGAGGATGGAGAGAATCAGGAAAAATACCTAATGGGTACTAGGCTTAATACCTATATAATGAGATAATCTGCACATGAAACCCCCATGACACAAGTTTACCTATGTAAGAAACCTGTGCTGTATCCCTGAACTTAAAAGTTAAAATAAAATAAAATATCCCTCAATAAAAAAAGAACAATAAAAACTAATTTTATTTACCAAATATCACATACATAAGACACTATAGACATAAAATACACAGAAGCAGACCTTATGGTCTTATAAAATATTTTTATTTACTGGCTTTTAAATAGATTTTCTTTTCCCCATTTGGTCTATCACTCTTCGAATTACCAGTTTCATTGCCCTAAGCAATTGTTAACTAGGCAACAAATTTGCGTTTCTAAAGATACAACCCTTAGGTGGAACAAAACAAATTATTTTTTATAAGCACAGAGCTAAGATTCTAGGCCTAAATATTGTATCATCATTTTCTCAAACCAAGGAAATAAAACTTGCTGAAATAAAAGTTCACTTAAGGCAAGATGGCCAGAAGAGTTATGACTTCTTATGTAAGTTAAAAAGAATGATAAAACTTTCTAATGTACATAGGCAGACATACATCTATAAAGGAAGTCTCAAATTTTTAAGGGTATTTATTTCACAAAAGAATTTCCAATTACATTTCAGAATAAAAAAGGAATAGTCAATTAAATTACAGAAAAATTTATTTTAGTTTAATAGGGTGTTTTTAAGCTAAAATCACCTGAGTTCAGGTTACTGGGTGGAGCCCACTAAGGAATAGGACCAACAAAGCATTGTATGCCTGGACTCAGCATGGATAGATCCGAAAAAGGAGCACATTTATTTTACATTTTATAAACACCTTATCTAGGATAGCCTTCTTTCTGCCTTTGGGGCAGGATAGTAACTAAGCCAAAAGTTTAGCAGGTTTAATTAGTCTCATCAATTACTTGCTTAAGCTTTTCATTTGCCTTTTACAAAGTCTTTACATAAAAATATTGAAATCTTTTTAGAAGCTTCTGTATATAAATAGGCCTCCCTAGATGAGATTAATTTGGGAGCCCTTATTTTCAAATGCACTTCAGTGCAGTGTTGGTCATTTGGAACATTGCTCTGTAACTTATCTTTAGTATGATTTCACCATTTTTGTAATACTTTGCTGCCTTTGGGGCCTAATATTTATACATATGCTGGATGGTATTTAGTCCTTCATAAATTAAGGATCCCATTTTTACCTCAAATATTGGCTTTGGCTCTGAGGTTTCATTGATCAAGTTAGCCAATGGTTTTATTCCCTACCCAAACACAAGAGAAAAATAAAGAGGTAGAACACAAAAATTTCTGCGAATATCCAAAAGCCAAATTTTACAACCTCAGCAATATTGCCATTTACTATCAGGTTCTTTCTGACCCAGTCAGATATAAAGGGCCTCAAACTGGATTCAAGCCAGTTAATTATCAGATCCAATCTGACCCTGGACCCAGTTCAGTTTCTCCTGCAACTTCCAAACCCAGTTTGGATCAGAAATTTGTTCAAAGAAAGTCAGAAAGCTCAAAATGAAAATCCACGGAGCTTCGGAATCCGAGAGTGAATTTACCACAATCCTCTGCTGCTCCAAGAGAGAAATGGACACAATGGGCCTGATGGGTACCTCTCTTGGTCACTCAGCGCTTCTGGGGCTCATTAGAAGCTCTATTTCAGATCCTATTTCTGATGCCATCTGTTAAAAGAAAAGCTTTAGGCAATTTAAATTTAACAGAGTTTAATTCAGCAAAGAACAATTTGAGAATTGAGCAGCCTCCCATGATGTACAGAAAATGGAACTGAGGTACAGAAACAGCTGGATTGGTTACAGCTTGATGTCTACCTTATTTGAACATGGTTTGAACAGCTGGCTACCTTTGATTGGCCAAAACTTGGTAATTGGCACAAGAGCAGGCTACAGTCTGTATACAACTTTGTTTAGGTTATAGTTCATGATGTACAGAGAAACCTTTAGGCCAAACATCAAATATGTAAGAAATCAGCTTTAGGCTAAATTTGATCTAACAAGTTACATTAATTACTAGTTATAGATTAGTGCTACTAAGTTCTATTTTGACATTATAAATTTGGAAGTAATTTTTACCCTTAAACTAATAGCTAACATGCTAAAAAATTTAAGGTTAATTAATAATTACATATACATATGATTTAATGAATGTAAACACTTCACTAAAATTTAATAAACATTTGAAAAATAATCAACATCACTATGATAGAGTATTAAAAATACTTCCCTCTGGTTACTGAATATGTAATGGGAATTGAAATCAGATATTTTATTATTAAATTCTGTCCTATCAATTTTCCAATGTCTTTTATAATACTTATCACATTTAGGCTGTGCCAACCTAGCTCATTTGTGTGAAACTTGTAAAATATGGGCAAGAAATTGTCATTGGGAAAAGAGGGCAGACAAAAAACATCAAAAAAGTTGCAAATTATTTAAGTCTACTATTCATGAAAACATAGTCTGTTTTTCATTAAAAGACTAACACTACATTGCTGACTAGATTAGTCTTGTCTTAGAAAAATTAATGCCTGAAAACATGGAATCTCACGTTTTTATTATATTTAGTGAAATGTTATATATCCTATATGAACAAAAATAAAATCATAAGACTCTCTTAACTAAACACATTAAATATTTCCTTATAAACTTGAGGGAAAAATCTGATTTTCTTTTAGTAGCTTTTCATACTCCAAGACTATCTGCTTTTTTAGCCTCTTACCCTTCCATTTCTTTATAAGGCTCCTTATTTCATGCTATTTCCTAACATTTGCAATTTTCAGAAAACCATCATGCCTTATTGTCTTTTTTACTTTTTCATATGATACTTCATTTTGCTCCTTCTGGTGTATCATCAGTCTATACATAGGAAGAAAATTTCTCCTTCACTGTAATATTTCACATCAAATGCCATCTCTTCCAGGAAGCCACCATGATGGCATCAGGAAGTTTAGAAGTTTCCTCAATGGCCTTGTCCATGCCTTGGCTGGAGAACACATTTCATCACTGCAATTGTGCATTTCCACACCTTTTATCCAGGTAAACTAGAGACTTCTCAAGTGAAGGACCCATGTTCAAATGTTATTTTTTTAATTTCTCCTTTCTGCCTTGTGTGGTGACTGACATTCTGTAATATTTTAAATAAATGATGTAAAAACCAAAAGGAAGTAGAAGAGAAAGTGAATTTTTATGTGGCTGTCTAATTATTTACTTGGTTTTAAAAAAGTAGTAGAAATAGAATAGCTAATAAAAATGTTAAAATAGTTATATTGAAAGTAAAATGGGAGGATTTGAGAAACACAAAAGGAAAATTTTAGAATTTGTGAAAAAAATCTTTCACCATGATTAAATGAGATTCATCCCAGGATTCAAGGATGGCTTAACATATGCAAAATATATTTTAAATATAACATACGAAAATATAAATGTTTCAAGAAAAAGAAAATATATTATAAATAGATTTATAAGCATTGGTTCAATCTATATAATTGCTTGTATGAAGATACATTATTTACAGATTATATCAATTCTTAATGTCACTTGACCTGGTACTAAGGTTAACCTATAAAATTAACTTTTTGGAAACTTGCTGGATATAGCAGTGATCGATTGAGTTGAAATCAGGTATTGTTCTAGAGAAGTGAAAAATAAATACAAAACACAATGTTTGAGACATTAGTTTCCTTATTTGTTAGTGCATTATTACAACCTCCAGCCTCCTTTATAACTGTAAATTTCAGAACCCTACCTCAAAATATCTACCAAAAAATTAAAAACTTCTAGGAAAAGGTAAGAGAATACATATACTTGGATATGTTTTATGCTACTCTAGTCTTGGGTCCTATATCTAGAACCACAGCTCTACAGGGCAGTTTATGTCTCTTTCTAGAATCACTTCTGTTATAGTAAGTGTTAATCTCAATATTTATGTAGAATATACTTATTTCTTAGAATTTCAGTTCTATAATCACCCCTCCTCCAATAATCTTGTCCTCTATCCCACCTTAGCTACCTTATTGCATCACTATACCCTTGACTTTGTCTTAAACTTTAAATCCATATCTTTCCTAATCTCAATTTTAATTATCTCAACTCTGACAATAATTTTTCCAATTCTCTTCCTTTTGTACCCCAACTTTAACAATCTCTCCATCTCAGGAGAAAATTTCTTTTTATTCATACTACCGTCTCATAGCCCTTATCACTCAGTTCTCATTTCCTTACAGAACTTAAAAGTACTTAATCATTCTTCTCCTTCAAATGCTTTATTTTATGTGGCACTATATCTCTCTGGTTTTTCTTTTACTTCTCTGGTCAGTCTGACTCAACCTTCTGTCTTCCAAACTATAGACATTGGCATGACATGGTGCTCACCCCTTTCATCTTTTCTCTTTAAGATCCTTCAGTCTTTAAGTAAGTTCAAATTACATAAGTTTAATTACCAATTAAATCCTAAGGATTCTCAGATTTATTTTGTAAAGCCAGACAAGTTCTCTTGAACTGTAAACTCTTTTTTAAATATATATATATATATATATATATATATATATATATAGTTTTTTATTATACTTTAAGTTCTAGGGTACATGTGCACAACATGCAGGTTTGTTACATATGTATACATGTGCCATGTTGGTGTGCTGCACCCATTAACTCGTCATTTACATCAGATGTATCTCCTAATGCTATCTCTCCCCCTTCCCCCACCCCACAACAGGCCCCAGTGTGTGATGTTCCCCTTCCTGTGTCCAAGTGTTCTCATTGTTCAATTCCCACCTATAAGTGAGAACATGTGGTGTTTGGTTTTTTGTCCTTGCCATAGTTTGCTGAGAATGATGGTTTCCAGTTTCATCCATGTCCCTACAAAGGACATGAACTCATCCTTTTTTATGGCTGCATAGTATTCCATGGTGTATATGTGCCACATTTTCTTAATCCAGTCTATCATTGTTGGACATTTGGGTTGGTTCCAAGTCTTTGCTACTGTGAGTAGTGCCACTATAAACATACATGTGCATGTGTCTTTATAGCAGCATGATTTATATTCCTTTGGGTATATACCCAGTAATGGGATGGCTGGGTAAAATGGTATTTCTAGTTCTAGATCCTTGAGGAATCGCCACACTCTCTTCCACAATGGTTGAACTAGTTTACAGTCCTACCAACAGTGTAAAAGTGTTCCTATTTCTCCACATCCTCTCCAGCACCTGTTGTTTCCTGACTTTTTAATGATTGCGATTCTAACTGGTGTGAGATGATATCTCATTGTGGTTTTGATTTGCATTTCTCTGATGGCCAGTGATGATGAGCATTTTTTCATGTGTTTTTTGGCTGCATAAATGTATTCTTTTGAGAAGTGTCTGTTCATATCCTTTGCCCACTTTTTGATGGGGTTGTTTTTTTCTTGTAAATTTGTTTGAGCTCTTTGTAGATTCTGGATATTAGCCCTTTGTCAGATGAGCAGATTGCAAAAATTTCTCCCATTCTGTAGGTTGCCTGTTCACTCTGATGGTAGTTTCTTTTGCTGTGCAGAAGCTCTTTAGTTTAATTAGATCCCATTTGTCAATTTTGGCTTTTGTTGCCATTGCTTTTGGTGTTTTAGACATGAAGTCCTTGCCCATGCCTATGTCCTGAATGGTATTGCCTAGGTTTTCTTCTAGGGTTTTTATGGTTTTAGGTGTAACATTTAAGTCTTTAATCCATCTTGAATTAATTTTTGTATAAGGTGTAAGGAAGGGATCCAGTTTCAGCTTTCTACACATGGCTAGCCAGTTTTCCCAGCACCACTTGTTAAATAGGGAATGCTTTCCCCATTTCTTGTGTTTTTGTCAGGTTTGTCAAAGATCAGATAGTTGTAGAAGTGTGGTATTGTTTCTGAGGGCTCTGTTCTGTTCCACTGGTCTCTATCTCCGTTTTGGTACCAGTACCATGCTGTTTTGGTTATTGTAGCCTTGTAGTATAGTTTGAAGTCAGGTAGTGTGATGACTCCAGCTTTGTTCTTTTGGCTTAGGATTGACTTGGCAATGTGGGCTCTTTTTTGGTTCCATATGAACTTTAAAGTAGGTTTTCCAATTCTGTGAAGAAAGTCATTGGTAGCTTAATGGGGATGGCATTGAATCTATAAATTACTTTGAGCAGTATGGCCGTTTTCATGATATTGATTCTTCCTATCCATGAGCATGGAATCTTCTTCCATTTGTTGTATCCTCTTTTATTTCGTTGAGCAGTGGTTTGTGGTTCTCCTTGAAGAGGTCCTTCACATCCCTTGTAAGTTGGATTCCTAGGTATTTTATTCTCTTTGAAGCAATTGTGAATGGGAGTTCACTCATGATTTGGCTCTCTGTCTGTTATCGGTGTATAAGAATGCTTGTGATTTTTGCACATTGATTTTTTATCCTGAGACTTTGCTGAAGTTGCTTACCAGCTTAAGGAGATTTTGGGCTGAGATGAAGGGGTTTTATAGATATACAATCATGTCATCTACAAACAGGGACAATTTGATTAGAGCATAAGCTCTGAACACAGATTTTTTGTATGTTAATTTACTGCTGAATTTTGCGTATTTTGGCATATAGTAGAGTTTGATCAACATTGTAAACATGAATGATTATTAGTGACTCTTGAGATGCTAAAACCCTTATGAGTAACATGAGGCATTAAGCATTTATTCAGAAGTTTAAAAAGGGTTGCTGACTTATAAAAGCTATAATAAAATATTTGTTATATGTGTAATTGAAAAGAAAAATTGATGTTGTCAAAACTTTTAGTACTTGTACCCAACTGTATATTATGTAGAAACTGGAAGCTTTGCTTGTTAAACTTAAGGGAAAAATAAAGTGAACTTGTTTACGTGATGTTATTTTTAATGTATGCACTTGTTGTGGGGTAATAAAATACAAAATTATCTACAAGTGTTACTGAACTTATAAAAGACTTTTGTTGTGTACAGTCTTGGAAATTTTTTATAGAAACTATAATCCTGAGGCATTTGCAGATGTTTTTATTATTTTAAATATCTTCATACTTGAAAATGCTGTGAACCACTGATATGACAGAAAATTATTGAAATTTTAATGTCTTAAAATTTATTATAGTAAAATGTAGGAAAAGAAAAAAATAGTGAGTAAACTGAAAAGCAATGACATTTCTTGAACCCATTAGAAAATGGAGAGCAAAGAGTCACTCTGAAGTCTGGAGAGAGAGACAAATCCAAAGAATCACAGCCAAGACGGAAAATTCATAAAATCCAATATAAAGGTGTTGTTTATATTTCCTTAACATTCCTTTTTCAAAAGCTCTGGTTGTGCCCTTATACATGTGCTTATCAACAGAAATATGGGGGCTCAGACCCCTATACTTTAACTCAGGTATTAAAAAAGTCATAACTGTTCTCCATTTCTTTTGTAAACAAGACAAATGATGAACTATCAACTGTCTTGAGGAGTCTGGGTCCTCAAATTTGTAGGCTGAGGATGAAAAGGGAAAGCATTAACTTCAAAAACTCAAAGATAAATTTATCGTTTTGTTTTTAGTAAAAATAAAGAAAAACCACAAGCTCTCTTATTACCAGGATACAATCAACACTATGGATTGTTTTTTATTTAATCTACGCTGACTAAGCCAAGAACTTTAAGAACATTAAGTCTTCAAATATTTTCCAGACTTGACTGTCCATTTTAAAGTAAATAATTAATGTAACCTGTTTCTTAAAATGTTTTTTATTGATATTTCTTATGCTGGGCTTCATTGCTATTTTTAATGGAATTTCATGATCACAGAATTTACTCCTAATAATGGCTTAAATTAAGACACTGAGCAGAGAAATGGGTTCCAAGGATGAGCTACACATATATTCAACATTAAAAAGCTATATAAAGATATTTGATCCCAAGATGGCTGAGTCACAGAGACTTTTACCAGCCCAGCTGAAAAAGATTCAGGGCTATTCAAAAAAAGGATTTGCATAACATTTTGAAGATAAGATCAAGATTAGCCAATATTAGTTACAAGAGAGAAAAATGAAGAAAATCTACCTATCAGTACACAGAAGTTTATTATTGTTATATGATCATTGTTTAATACATTTTAATGTATGTTTGATCATGTAAAACCTGAAATTACAATACCAAATATCAGATAAAAGTCATTATCTATTTAAGACTACATGGTCTAGGCATCTTTTTTTTTCAAACAAATTGTAAAACAAAAATATTTTTACATTTTATGCTATAGAAAAACATTTATGAAAGAAAAATAAAGATTGCAACACCAATGTTCTATAAAGCAGCTACCTATTTTCATTGCTAATAATAAAAGATTATAACCAAACTCTCATTTTAAAATAATTTGTATTTACAAATTGAGGTTGAATATGCATATATAACAGCAATAGTTTCCAAAATTAGGCAAAAACATCACAAATGATTTTTTATAAAATAGAGTTTGGGAGCCCTTATGGTACTCATGAATGAACGAACTTTTCATGATGATTAAGAAATTACTTTTTAGAGTAATAGAATTCATATATGTGTGTATTTATATTTTGTGTTAAGTGGAAGAGTAGTTTCTGAGTTAAGAAAACAAAGTATTTGCTTTGACCATATAAATATGTAAGAAATATTCAGCAAAAACAGGAAATAGAATATCTTCTACACAGAGTAACAAAAGCAGCTTTTGGCATTTTCACTGATGATGGGAATATCAATTTCAAAACAGACAGATCTGAACTACTATAGAAAACTGTGTTCATACCAAGAAGCATATATTTTTACAAAGAGAAAAGCAATTATATTTAATATCTGTTAAAAGCTACAGTGTATTTTCAAAGTTGCAAAAAATAGATTTAGGAATATTCCATCCATTTTTGTAGAGGATGAGATGATTCATCCTGATTAGGCTTCCTGTTGAGGCTGAGTGGTTTTAATAAAAGAAGGAAATCAATGAGTGGCCATTGGAATATAATGGATTTGAAATGCTATATTTTAATGAGGCAGCAATAGGAGGCCATTAGAATAAAATGGATTGACCATCAAAAGCACATAAAATAATTTATTAATCAAGCTGATGTGCAGATAATACCGTCACAAAGTATGCTGATAAGAATATACAGAAATAGTCGGAGAGTAGTTTTCTGTTAAGTTCTAAACTAAGGAACATTATCATGCAAAAGAAAAATAACTAGTTTACTAAGTATCAATACATGCCACGACCTTTTTGCCACCTTCAAATTTCATGTATTGTGTAACTTATGATATCGTACAAAAAAAGTTATTTTTAAAATATTGAGTAAGCACCCCCTTTATAATAATATGGACAGGAGTCAGGGAAACACTGGGTAGAAGAGAGTAGTTCCCAGGCAAAGGCCCCACTCTCAAGCTTGGAAACCTGTAGCCCCAAAAGCGAACAGACATTCCTGTTTTTGTGACCAAATGTTGCCTTTTGGTCTGCCACACCCCCCATCCTGTACCCATATAAACTCCAAACCCTGGACTCCATGAGCAGACAAGTAGATGAGCAGAAAAGCAGAGGAACAGAAGAGTAGCAAGGCAGAGAAGAAGAGAAGAGAAATGGCATCTGAACATTGAGAGGAGTTAGGCTGGGGAAGGTCAGAGTGGACTGGCCACAGGACAGCTAAAATTCAGGGGAAGATCATCTTCCCACTCCATCCCCTTTCCAGCTCCCCATCCATCCTACTGAGAGACATCTCCACTCTGCAGTAAAATCCCCAGCATTTACCAACCTTCAATTTGTCCGTGTGACCTGATTCTTCCTGGAGGCTGGAGAAGAACCCAGGTACCAAAAGGGCATTAAGCTGGTTAACACTTAAGCCATCTGTGGATAGCAGAGCTAAAGGAGCACTGTTACCTGCCCACTGGGGATTTGGGAGTTGCAGGCACCCACCCCTCAGCACTATTGTGGGGTCAGAGCTCAAAAGCACTCACCTGGGTTCCTGCACCTGCCCATCTGCATTCTTCCCCTCCCATAAGGGGTTTGGGTGCAGCAGCCAAACAAACAAGCCACACTCCTGTTGCAAGTCCTGTGAGGGGGGTCAGGAAACTCTCCAGTTTCAATAACTGTCCAGTGAAACATTTATTATTTTAATATTCCTAGATAACCTTCATTTTTCAGACTCTAGGTTAAAATAAGAATTCAGCATACCAATGGTAACAACTCTTAGAAAGATGAATTGAAATGCAATTAAAATTAATTCAAACTATAACTAGAATTTCTTTGAAATTAATGGCAAAGCTTTGTAGTAATATATTAAAAGCTCATCCCTGTCATTGTAATAATTATGCTAAATTTATATAAACAAGTATATTTGAAGACATAAAATGTTAGTCATCTGGGGTTACAAATATTATTTTTATGTCTTTCATTCACTCATCACTATCATGGCACAAGTTATGCCGAAATTAAATTTAAATACTCTTTTCCAGTAAAAAAAATTGTGTCCATTTACCTTCTTTCCTCTATGAAAACTAGTTGTGTATCTGTATTCTTAATTCAATTTACAATGATTCTGGATCATCACTCTTTCTCTGACATTTTCTGGTCTAGCCTAGTTCAGTGATTTTTTTTTACTAATAGTATTTATTTATGTATTGGTATGTTTGATTTCAAAGTCAATTTTTAGTATCATAGGTTTCCAATTAATATTTGCATTTTTTTTGTATTTTTTGTTTGTTTGTTTGTTTTTGAGACAGAGCCTCTCTCTGTTGCCCAGGCTGGAGTGCAGTGGTGTGATCTCAGCTCACTGCAGCCTCCATCTCACGGGTTCAAGGGATTTTCATGCCTCGGCCTCCTGAGTAGCTGGGACTACAGGCATGTGGGCCATCACACCTGGCTGATTTTTGTATATTTAGTAGAGATGGGGTTTCATCACATTGGCCAGGCTGTTCTCAAACTCCTGACCTCAAGTGATCCACCTGCCTCGGCCTCCCAAGGTGCTGGGATTACAGGCGTGAGCCACTGCACCCAGTATTTGCACATTCTAACCAACAACTTTTAAAGATAATATATCAAGTAGGAGTCTGTTTCCATTTTTCCTATATTGAAGACCATTAATAATGTATTAACACATTGTTTTTTAACTGATCCAAAGTTTCAGCTAACCCCATCTCGAACATTTAAAAAATATTTACCAAAAATTATGTAGGAGATTCACTAGAAAAATAAACAGTATTGTGCTATGATCATTTTAAACTCTGCCAGATACATTTAGCATAATGATGTACAAATGTACACATAGTCATGTAACCAAGAAATGGAGAAAGCAAAATATATAAACATAGAAAAAATCATTCTGGTTTCCAATTTCATCCATGTCCCTACAAAGGACATGAACTCATCATTTTTTATGGCTGCATAGTATTCCATGGTGTATATGTGCCACATTTTCTTAATCCAGTCTATCATTATTGGACATTTGGGTTGGTTCCAAGTCTTTGCTATTGTGAATAATGCCGCAATAAACGTGTGCATGTGTCTTTATAGCAGCATGATTTATAGTCATTTGGGTATATACCCAGTAATGGGATGGCTGGGTCAAATGGTATTTCTAGTTCTAGATCCCTGAGGAATCGCCACACTGACTTCCACAATGGTTGAACTAGTTTACAGTCCCACCAACAGTGTAAAAGTGTTCCTATTTCTCCACATCCTCTCCAGCACCTGTTGTTTCCTGACTTTTTAATGATTGCCATTCTAACCAGCATGGCACATGTATACATATGTAACTAACCTGCACAAAGTGCACATGTACCCTAAAACTTAAAGTATAATAAAAAAAAATAATCATTCTGAAGCCATCCTTCAGTTTACTTATACCAACGCCGTACCTTCATTTCTTCTACTTCCATTTTCTTTTTTCTGTACTAGAATTTTTCCCAACACTAATGTCAGTTAATTGTTTGGAATGAACATCTGACAATCTTCAGGTTTCTGAAATTTTAAAATAATTTTTGCTGCTCTGTCCTAGGGGATGGAACTGCCAGATAATCAGCACTGCTGAACAATGGCCTATAACCTATCTTGGTGACAAAACCATCTATTTCATCCCTTCTGAATTTACTCCATTTTTTTCTTCTATCCATGTAGTATTCTTTATAAATGTAGTTTTTTTATAGGCTGGTCTGTAACCAGGATCTTCTTATGTCTTCCTTATAATCCTTTTTTGTCCTTTATTTCACCAGTTACTTATTTTTTTTTCCTTAGGTCTATTTCTACATTCACTATCATTATACCTTTTGGTTTTGACACAAAGTAAATCCTAACATTTTATGTAATATACCCCAACCATCCTACCCATATCTTGGCTCTTTTAATTAGCAAGACACTCATTTTTGCTTATTGTCATATTATTTAAGTTTATCCATAAATAAAATTTAGAAGGCTGGCTATTGCTTTTCCTAAAGTTTTTTCTTTTGTAGAGAAAACTATGGTATTCAAGTTGTTTTTGTCACTTATTAACCTAAACCCTCTTACTAATAGCCCTGTGTATAAAATTGGCTCACTATATGATTTTGTTTGTATGTTTGTCATATAGTTTTATGGCATGATTCTTCACTATTATTCTGATTGAAAGTCTGATTGAACTTTGAAATTACAAATCATCTGTTTAAAAAATGATCTTTATATAAAATGCAAATCAAACCATATTTTTAGTGAACATTTACTTTGTGTTTAAAATTGAAGTAGATCTTCTAAATTTTTATTTACTAGAAAAATTTAAATTTATAGCTATATCCAAACACATGTACATAATTTTATCTATTAATTATATGTTCACTTTGTAATTTTTTTTTGACACAAAATCTCATTCTATCACCCCTGCTAGAGTGCAGTGGTGAGATAACAGCTCACTGCAGCCTTGAATTTCCTTGTCCAAGCAATCCTCCCACATCAACCTCCCAAGTAGCTGGAACCACAGGTGCATGGCACCATGCCTGGCTGAATGTTTTTGTATTTTTTGTAGAGAAGAGGTTTCACCATGTTGACCATGGCTGGTCTTGAACTCCTAGGCTCCAGTAATCTGCCTGTGTCAACTGTGAGCCACCATGCCTGGCCTCTCAACTATTTTATTTGCAAGACCCTAAGAACAATTCAGTCAGAGAAAATATGATACAGAATTTTTCACTGATCGAATTCAATATGTCAATCTATATCTTGAAGCAGATAAACACTAAGGCATTGCTAACCACTTTGAAAAAATCTAGTTATTGTTACATTAGCATTATTTAAATCAAATTCAATTTTTATTTATATATTATTATATATTTTTATTTTTATCTAAAAATATAGAATTTATTGTACAGATAATAGTCTATCCATGAATGAGAAAATATTGTCCATGAGTTGTCTACTAAGTAAAAGATAAATTCAAAGTCATACATGTGTGTATATACACACAAACACGCTCACACGCACAGACTAAAATACAAAGTTGTAAAAGCAAACGTACTAGATGTTGTAAAGTTTGTTAAGTTAGAGTCTGGAAATAGAGAGTTGGATATAGAAAGGTAATGAATATCTTTATCTTATACATCTTCACTATGTTTTAGTTTACTTGCTGAAGCATGTATGTTTTATAGTATTATGTTGAAACCAATTTTCATGATGCAAATGTATTGTGCTTAATATTCACAAATGATTGAATATTTGAAATGTTTTATATTTTAATGAAATATCTGTTCTTTTTATTCTAATGATATAAAATGTTATATAAAAGTCTTCATTTTAACTCATTTTAATTGCCTGCTTTTGTTTATAGCTCTTATTATGGAAATGTAATTAATAACACAATTAATGAGCCATAGAACTCATTCTAAATGATTCACATTTAGAATCATAAAAACTATTTTTTTAATTTATTTACATCAACCAATGCATTAAAGTGATGGTGTCTGTAGTAAATACATGCTTCCCAATCACACTAGCTAATTGTTTTTGTGAGTGTTCTCAGGAAAAAATAATTTTCACTGAAGAAAGCTTCTCAAATATTTAAATCAATCTCAGTGAAATTAATATTAAATACTTTCTAACATGCTAAATTTATCATTCAATCCTAAGTCAGTATGTTTAGTTTTATTTTCAATCTCTAACATTTTGAAGTTGACTTTCGTTTTCTTTTTCTATTCTAAGGATTATTTGAATTTGCTGCATAGATTTTAAAATTCTTCTAGAATACAACTGAAGGTAAGAAACATGGCAAGTGAAATCACTGTGAATGACATCTAGTAAACATGGATACCTGAGTATATTAAACACAACTCACCACTGATTTTCACAGGTACGTTTTTTATTACAAAGGCATTTATATGTATAGACTGAGGAATATTTCACATATTTAGAAAGGCTTACCCATGTTTTTCTCTTTTCCCATCATACTGTAGGAGAAAATGCAAACAAAGGAAAGTAGAATTTGTTTAACTCTGAAAAGAAAAATTGGGAGACCATTTACTGGATGTTAATAAATAGTCTGTGTCTGTAAGATGATACAAGAATAAAATGATATTACTTTTTCATTCCTAGAATGATAAATTACAGCACAAATTTTATTCTCCTTGGCCATACAGGAAAAACCTAAAGTTTTATGCAAAATGTTTTCAAAGTTTGATAAAACTGCTAACAGAAACTTAGGTAAATGCCGAATTTTCTATATGAGTAGCGAGCCAGACAAGATCAGTTTCTTTTTTATTCAGAGACAATAGTATAGGTTACAGACATGTCTAAATTTCAGTAAGTCATATGATTTGTTGATATAGGGAAACCTATACTTAATATTTAAGATTGGGTATCATTCATTCATTTTATAATCTATTTCCGTCTTAAGAAATTTCCTCCTTCTGCCATAATGAAGAATAAAGCTGTTTCTTGCAGGCAAATTACCAGTCTGCCTGGTCTTGCCCTGTTGCACAACATTTGGTATAAAAATAAACAGCTTTTGAAAGAAAACAAGAACACTGAAGAGACTGAACTATAGTTTAGTTGGTAATGACAACGTCAAAGTCACCATCTTCATTGCTTGCTAAAAATAAGTGAGTTTTATTTCAAAAGGCATAAAGCCAAAATTCAATACATAAATCAAATCCTCATTTTTTAGCAATATGCAATATATAAAACATTAAATTATTTTATTATAGAATTATCTTAAAATAATGAGCATCTAAATAATGGGCATCTTTATTTAAATTATCTTTAAAGAGCTAAACCAGAAAGAAGTAAACTGATTACTTTCAGTGTGTAAGGTTTGTCCTCACTTATAATTGGGTAGATTGTACATAGCTAAAGAGTCCACATTGCAGGTTAGAAGAAAAAACTTGACTTTTGGCTTGGTTTTATAAAATTAAGAATGCTGCAAATTCATTATTTATTTTTCTTTAGCCACCCACTTCCTGACCAAGTGTTGAAGTCCTGACCCTTGAAGGTCTAACTCTATTACTTTCCACTAATTCCTTACAATGGTTAGGACTGCTTACTAAGTAAATCCCAAGTTAGTTAAAATAATTTTCTAAAGTCAGTCTCGATTATTTATAAAAATGTCCATACTTCAGAATAACTCACTTTTATTTACATTTTTATTTATGTATAGGATCACAAGCAAACTCCTAAACTCAGAGCTAGAGGAGACTCAAGAGCAATGAGTCATCCCCTCATTTTATAGGTGAGGAAAGATTTCCAAGACAGGTTGAAATGACTGCTTAATATTAGTCATATAGAATGCCTTAAAATTCTAGGACAAGAATCCAGGACTTAGAATTAATGAAACATATTTGAGCATTTACACAGTCACATAGCATTTGGTATTTTTTTTTAAATTTAAATAACATTGAAAAGTATAAATAATTATTTGTATTTCTATTTAAAATTAAAAATTGTTGACACCTATGTATATTTGCTACTATTTTTACAGAAATATAGTATATTACATTTAACAAATACCAACTATCACAAAGATGAAAGTATAAAATAGTTTCTCAAAATTCACCATTGGAAAATCAACATTCAAGTATTTGAAAAATAATCATTAACACATTTGTTCAGCAAATATTTAATGAGTACTGTGTACTTACTGTGTGCAAGGCACAGTTCTATGAACACAGGAAAATATATGTACAATCAAACCAGAAATTTTTTTAAAAAAAGGACTCTCTGCTGTCATGAATCAGAAAATAAAAATTATATCTAAAAAAATAATAAAATGTGTTATATTTATTGCTAAGTGAAAAATTACTCAAAAAGTCAACAGCTTCAAACAATAAATATGCATTATCTTGCCGGTTCCAGGGGTCAAGAATCTTGATGTGGTTTACTTTGATCCTCTTACTCAGGATCCTTCACGAGGCTGTAGTCAAGTTGCCAGCTGTGGCTGTATTCATCTCAAGGCTCCACTGACAGGAAATGCCCTTCTAAACTCACTCACGGGTCTGTGAGTAGGTGTCAGGTCCTCACTGTCTGTTAGCCTAAGACATGAGTCCTTTACCACTGGACTTCTCTGTAGGACTACTCCCAACATAGCAACATGCTTCCTCTAAAGTGAGGATTTAGAAAAGAGAGCAAGAGAGAGAATGAGCAAGTCACAGTTTTTGTAAGCTAAGCTCAGAAATAAGGTCCCCATCACTTTAGCTGCACTCTATTCATTAGAAGCAATTTACTAGGTGTAGCCCATGTAAGCTTCTTCTTCAAGGGGAAGAGGTTATGCAAAGACGTAAGTACCAGAAAGTCATTGGAAGGAAGAGATCATTGGAAATCATTTTACAAGCTGCCTACCACAAAATATTAGATGATGACAAATACAAAGGAAAAATCAAATTGAAGGTGGTTGGGCCATTGAAGGTAATTGGAGATGAGGAGGAAGTACACCTGCAAATCTAAGTAAGACTAGCCTTCATCGAGAAGGTGACCTTTGAGAGAGGAATTGAAGAGGTGATGGCATTTTCTCTTTGGAAAGAGCAATATAAGAATAGATAAAACCTGTTTAAAGGCTCTGAGTTAGAATAATATTTCATGTATTGTAAAATGAGCAAGGAGATCATTGTGGTTTACCACAGTCTTCTGGTGGTCTATGATGTTTTGACAATTTACCTACCACTATATCTCTGTATTATCATATTCTATCATTCTGCTCTTTGTTCATTCTGCTTCAGCTCTCTTTGCATCTAAGTTAAATCTATTGAATGGTTTTAAGCAGATAAATACCAATCCAGCTTACTATGTTGTTTTACGTGTTGTTTTGCTAATAGACTAATAGTGTGATTTTGTGCTTTGCTGCACAGGTGCAAGTGCAGTCTAACTGGAGAATTGGGTTTAACCAGTGTTGTGATTTTACTGAGGTAATAAATAAATAAATAAAAGCATTGAGTTCCAGGTATATTCAATTGGATGATTATTAATGATGGATTTTAAGCTAAGTATGGTAGGAAGAAATTACATTAATTGGATCATAATTGAAATGGCTGACATAAGCAAAAAATTATCAAAATCATTGGATTGATACTCTAGCAATCAGGAAAGGAGTTTGGTGGGGAGTCAACAAAGTAATGAGAAAATTAACTAGAAACTTAAGTGATGTTGAATAGAATGAGAAATGTCACAGAATAGAAACTTAAGAGATGTTGAATAGAGTGAGAAATGTCACAGAAGAGAAACTTAAGAGATGTTGAATAGAGTGAGAAATGTCACAGATTACACTTATTACTAATGCTCAGTTTTAGCATTGTAAACAAAGGAATAAGAGTCTGGGGTAGAGTAGAGGACCACATCATAGAAAGAATAGTATTTCTTTGGGATAAAACCAACCAGTTAAAGGGCTTCCCAGGAATTAGTGTTTTCAGTAGAAGGCTAGTTTTCATAAAAGCAGGAGCATTCATCAAGGAAGCATTCAGATAAAATACTCTGTATAAAGAACATTTTGCTAATGTTGATCTGGCCATTCCCAAAAGGACAATGGAAATATTTAAAAAGATGGAGAGATGTTAACAAAATGTGGCATATAGACAAGCTTATAAGAATAAGAATTCAAGACATGAAAAGTGACTGAAGTCTTGATGCTCCTGTGTAGTGCCTGGATATATAGGGATAAATAACTTAATGTGATTCATATTAGACAACTCAAGGAAGATAGTGCTAATGCTATTTACAATATTAGAAAATGGGAAGAGTAGGTATCTGAGTTTTCTGACAATTAAGGCAAAAAGGTTGACTTTTGCGAAGGTGAGCATTAGAGTTTATGAGCTGCCTTTGACTAGATACAGTGTCATAAATATTGAGTAGAACATCTAGGTAGCTATATTGTTTGATTCAGTACATATGACTTGATTTTTACTTTTGTTGGAGCAAAATAACTTAAAGGTTCATAAGTCTCTCCATTAACCACTGACTATAGAATTGGCAATGCCCAGGGAAGCTTGGTGTAATTCTGGGAATACAGGACATAATTGATTTCTGCTGAAAAATATTCAGGACATCATATTAGGTAGTATACAGATAAGATCATTTTATCAACATATCTAAAGATAAAATTTTATTAAAAAATTGTATTAGTGGGGCTAATTGTTAATGTTTCAAGCTCTAGTTTATTGTGGCATATTATCTTTGAACTAACTCTCATCCAGTATAGGTAATAGCTACACATTTAGATCTCAAAAGGCATGCAAAATGAATTATATATATATAATATATAACTTTATACCCAATAGCAGGAGAATATACATTCTTCTCAAGTGCTAATGGAGCATTCTCCAGACTAGACCACAGGTTCATTGATAACACATAACAAATCTAATAAGATTAAAATCATACCAAATTATCTTCACTGACCACAATGGAATGAAACACCAAATAATAGCAGAAGGAAAAATGCAAAATTCACAAACACATGGAAATTATACAAAACAGTCTTGAATAACAAATGAGTCATACAATAAACTCAAAGTAAATTGCAAAATATCTTGAGGAAAGTTAAAATGAAAATACAACATGCCAACACTTTGGGATGCAGAAAATGTCATAAAATGAGGGAAGTTTATAAGTCTTTAGGTTGTTCTATATATTAGATCAAATCATCTGCAAACATGGACAATTTTACTTCTTTTCATTTTGCATGCCTTTTATTTATTTGTCTTGCCTAATTGTTCCATCCATAACTTGCAGTACTGTGTTGAATAAGAGTGGTGAGGGTGGCCATCCTTATTTTGTTCTAGGGTTCTTAGAGAAGAAGTTTCAGCTTTTCCCCATTAAGTGTGATATTAGCTATGGGTTTGTCATGTATGGCCTTTATTGAAGGGACATTGAATTTTATCAACTGCTTTCACTGTATCTACTGTGATGATCACAAAGATTTTGTTCTTCATTCTGTTGATATGATGTATCATGTTTATTGATTTGCATGTGTTAAGCCCTGCTTGCATTCCTGGGATAAATTCTAGTTGATCATGGTATACTATTTTTCTTACATGCTATTGGATTTGGATTGCTAGTGGTTTTTTGAGGAATTTTGTGTCTATGTTCAATAGGATATTGGCCTGCAGTTTTCGTTTTAAAATATTCAAAATGATTAACAATTCAGTAAACTTACAGGATACAAAATCAACAAACAAAAATTAGTAGCATTTCTTCTTTTTTTTTTATTATACTTTAAGTTCTGGTATACACATGCAGAACGTGCAGGTTTGTTACATAGGTATACACGTGCCGCGGTGGTTTGCTGCACACATCAACCTGTCATCTACATTAGGTATTTCTCCTAATGCTATCCCTTCCCTAGCCCTCCACCTCCCCTACAGTAGGCCCCGGTGTGTGATGTTCCCCTTCCTGTGTCCATGTGTTCTCATTGTTCAGCTCCCACTTATGAGTGAGAACATGTGGTGTTTGGTTTCCTGTTCCTGTGTTAGTTTGCTAAGAATGATGGTTTCCAGCTTCATCCATGTCCCTGCAAATGACATGAACTCATCTCTTTATTTTGTTTTGTTTTATTTTATTTTATTTTATTTTATTTTATTTTATTTTATTTTATTTTTGAGATGGAGTCTTGCTGTGTCACCCAGGCTGGAGTGCAGAGGCATGATCTCAGCTCACTGCAACCACTGCCACCCACGCTCAAGTGATTTTCCTGCCTCAGCCTCCCGAGTAGCTGGGATTACAGGCATGTGCCACCATGCCTGGCTAATTTTTGTATTTTTAGTAGACAGGGTTTCAGCATCTTGGCCAGGCTGGTCTTGAATTCCAGACTCTGTGACTCACCTGCCTCAGCCTCCCAAAGTGCTGGGATTACAGGCATGACCACCACGCCCAGGAACTTACCCCATTTTTATGACTGCATAGTATTCCATGGTGTATATGTGCCACATTTTCTTTATCCAGTCTGTCATTGATGGGCATTTGAGTTGGTTCCAACTCTGCTATTGTGAACAGTGCTGCAATAAACATGTGTGCATGTGTCTTTATAGTAGAATGATTTATAATCCTTGGGGTATATACCCAGTAATGGGATTGCAGGGCCAAATGGTATTTCTGGTTCTAGATCCTTGAGGAATTGCCACACTGTCTTCAACAATGGTTGAACTAATTTAGTAGCATTTCTAAGCTTATAAAAATATAAGCTTAAAAATAAATCAATAAGGCAATCTCATTTACAACAGCCACACACTCAAAAAACCTAGGGATGAATTTAACCAAGGTGGCAAAATGCCTTGTGATGGTTAATATTAGGTGTCAATTTGATTGAATTGAAGGATGCTAGATGGCTGGTAAAGTATTGTTTCTGGGTGTGTCTGTGAGGGTGTTGCCAGAAGAGATTGACATTTGAGTTGGTAAACTGGGAGAGGCAGACCCACCCTCAACGTGGATAGACACCATTGAATTGGCTACCAGCGAGGCTAGAACAAAGCAGAAGCAAAAAGGTGGGAGAACTTTGCTTGCTGGGTCTTCTGGCTGCCTTCTTTTTCTCATGCTGGATGCTTCTTCTCACTCCTCCTGCCCTTGGACATCAGACATCAGGTTCTTTGACATCTGGACTCTGGGGCTTACATCACTGTATTGCCAAGGACTCTCATGCTTTTGGCCACTGAGTGAAGCCTGCACTCTTTTAGCTTCCCTGATTTTAAGGCTTTCAGACTCAGACTGAGCCACTACCAAATTCTCTATTCCTCAGCTTTCAGAGGGCCTATTGTGGGACTTTGCATTGTGATCTTGTGAGCCAATTTTCTCTGAGAAACTCCCTTTTATATATCCATATATTCTATTAGTTCTGTCTCTCTGGAGAACTCAGACTAATACAGATATTGGTCCTAAGAGTGTTTCTAGAAGAACAGAAGTTTAAGGATAGATTTCTTCAGTCAGTTTTGGGGTTTCTGGAATTGGCTCATTAATATGATTAGACCTAAAAATGCTAAGGACTTTACTTCTAACACTATGGAAAACACTGATAGTCCCTTGACATGAATAGTTTAGAGAGTTGTGCAAAATAAATTAATCTGATACTCCTGAGTCACTGCCCCTAAGAGGCAAAGGGTTTATTGACTCTATACATGATACACTTGACCATTTGTGGAGAACCAAAAAATATAATGAAGTTGGTTGGATGCTTCTAAATTCTCTGGAAAAGTGATGAAAGAAAACGATGGCCTCTGGGATTCTATCTCCTCACTCCAGAAGCACATAATTAGCATGACATCTTTTAGTACTAATTAAAATCTTTTAAAATTTCTAAAATTGCTCTGGGTAAGAGTTTTATCTTTTGTAGTTTTATTTTCTGAAATTGCAGAAAATCAGACACACGCCCTTATCATGCCAGTGGCTGACCTGCCAGGAAAGGTACTTATTTTATTACTGCTTTTTCACATTGCTAATATATATATTTTATGTAGATATGTTAGATTTTATATATATATGTTAGATTTTTCACACTGCTAATATATATATTTTATATATATATATGTTAGATTCATTTGGTCTAAAGTGTTGTTCAAGTCTTCTGTTATCCATCTTTTGTCTGGATGTTCCATTTATTATTAAAATTGATATATTGAAATCTCATTACTGCATTGCTATTTGTATTATCAGTTCTGTCAATGTTTGCTTCATATATTTAGCTGCTGTGATATTAGATTACTATATAATTGTTTCATCTTCTTGTGAATGGACTCTTTAATCATTATATAATGTCTTTCTGCTCTTGTAAATATTTTTGGCTTAAAGTAAATTTTGTCTAATATAAATATAGCCACTGCTACTCTCTGTTGGTGCCATTTGTATGCTATATTGCTTTTTTCCTTCCATTTTCAGCCTGTTTGTCATTAAGTATAAAATGAGTTTCTTATAGAAAACATAGTCAGAGCTTTCCTTTTAGTCTATTCAGCCACTCATTGTCTTTTGTTGATAAGCTAATCAATTTATATTTAAGTTAATTACTCAGAAAAGGTCTTATCTTTGCTTTTTTTAATTGACACATTGTAACTGTACATATATATATATAAGGTAAAATGGTATGTTTTAATTCATATATCTTTTGTGTATGGATGAAATCAGGGTATTTTTCATGTTTTAACCTCATGAATTTACTATTTCTTGGTAGTAAGAATATTCAAAAGCTTCTCTTCTACCAATTTTGTAATACACAGTATTATCTTACTGTTAATCATCGTCATCCTACGGTGCACTAAAACACTAGAACTTATTTCTCCTATCTAAAATGTCACTCTGTACCTGTTGACCAACATCTCCCCATCCTTTCCTCCTTCACTGCCTCACAAGTCTCCGGTAACTACTGTTCAACTCTTTGCTTCCATATCAACTCTTTTTTTTTTTTTGGATTCCACATATGAGTGAAGTCATGCATTTGGGGTCTTCTGTGGGTTTTGGAATATTTTCTATATTTCTGTGAAGAATGTCATTGGTATTTTGACAGGGATTTTATTAAATCTGTAGATTGCTTTCGTTAGTATGACCATTTTAATAATAATCATTATTTCAATTCATGAACACAGGGTATCTCTCAATTTGCTTGTGTCTTCTTTAATGTCTTTCATCATTGCTTTACAGATTTTAGTACACACATCTTTTATCTCTTTTGTTATGTTTATTTCAGGCATCTTATTTTTGTAGCTATTGTAAATGAAATTATTTTATTGATTTACTTTTCAGATAATTTGTTATCAAAATATAGAAATACTACTGGTCTTTTCTATGTTGTTATTGTATCATGTGACTTTACTGAATTCATTTGCTTATTCTAACAATTCTTTGATGAAGGCTTTAGGGTTTACTGTATATAAGACCATGCCACCTGCAAACAGAGACAACTTATTCCTTTTCAGTTTTGACACATTTTAGTTTTTTTCTCTTGCCTTATTGCTCTGGCTAGGGCTTCCAGTAGTTTGTTCATTAGAAATGACAAGAGAAGGCATGTCTTTTTCCTGATCTATGTGGAAAAGCCTTCAACTTTACCACTGATTGCGATGCTGCCTATGGGTTTGTCACGTATGGCCTTTATTGTGTTGAACTACATTCTCTGTATACATAGTTTGGTAAGGACTTTTGTTATAAAAGGATGTTGTTTTTTTTTAATTTTTGTGCATCTATTGAGGTGGTTATATAAATTTTTGTTCTTTATTCTTTTTTGTGTTGTAGTAAATTTATAGATTTGCATATGTTGAACTCTACTTGCATCCCTGGGAAAAATCCCACTTGATCATGGTGAATGGTACTTTTAATATGCTATTCAATGCATTTTGCTAATATTTGATTGAGGATTTTTTCATGTATGTTCATGAGGCATATTGGCCAGTAATTTTTTTTCTTATAGTATCCTCATCTGTCTTTGGTATCGGGAAAATTCTGACCTCATAAAGTGAATTTGGAAGTATTCCTTCTTTTTCAATTTTTTGGAAGATATTCAGAAGAACTGCTATTATGTCTTTAAATGTTTGGTAGAATTTAGCAATGAAACCGTCATATTACTGATATATATAAACTGATGTAATTTATAAAGTTGTACATATTTTAATCTTTTCCTTATGTGTCAACACATTTATATAGCAATAGTTATTTTTATACTTTTATTGTTAACTTCTATAATGAAATAATATTGATTTATTATTATTATATTCTTTATTTGTCAATATAGCTACCTTTACCAATGAGCTTTATAGGTTGAAATATTTTTATGTTGCTATTTGGTGTCTTTTCATTTCAACTTTAAGTATCCTTTAAGAATTTCTTATACAGTGATATAGTTTGGATATGTGTCCCCAATAAATCCCACGTTGAATTGTAATTCCCATTGTTGGAGGTTGCACCTTGTGGGAGGTGACTGGATCATGGGGGTTGATCTCTCATGTGTTGGTTCTGTCTTCATGATAGTGAGTTCTCACAAAATCTGGTTGTTTAAAGTGAGTTGCACCTTCTCCCCTCACCGTGCTCCTTCTTTGGCCATGTTATATGCTGGCTCCCATTTTACCTTCTGCTATGAATAAAAGCTCCCTGAGACCTCCCCAGAAGCTGAGCAGATGCCAGCACCATGTTTATACCACCTAAGAACTGTGAGCCAATTACACTTTTTTTCTTTATAAATTACCTAGTCTCAGGTATTTCTGTTTAGTAGTAAAAGAATGGACTAATACATATAGCGAGTCTAGTGGTAATGAATTTCCTCAGCATCCTTCTGAAAAAGTGTTTATCTCAACTTTATTTTTGAAGGATGGTTTTGGCAGATATATTATTGACTGCAGGTTTTATGCTTGTTATTTTTCACATTAATTGTATTATTTCAGTCAGGCCTGAAAGTCTTCTGCTGAGAAACCCACTGGGAATCTTACAGGGACTCTCTTGCATGAACCACTTTACCATGCTGTTTTCAAAATTCTCAGTCCTTATCTTTTGACAGTTTGATTATAAGGTATCATACTACGAATTTATTTTTATTTATTCCATTTGGGGTCTTTTGGGCTTCTTGAATCTGTATATATTTATTTAAATAATCTTTCTGACTCTTTCTCTTTTTATCTCTTCCCAGAAATTTCATATTGCATATGTTGGTTTGTATAATGTTGCCCCATAAGTTTATGTTTTCTTCACCCTTTTTCATTTTTTTCTCCTCTGAATGTATAATTTTGAATTCTCTGTCTTTGAATTTCTGATTCTTCCCTCTGTTTTGGCAAATCTATTGTTGAATTCCTTTAGCAAATTTTTCCGTTCAGTTAGTGTATTTTACAGCTCCAAACTTTATTTTTTATATATTTGCTACTTCTTTGTTAAAATGCTTATTTTTTTTTCTCATGAGACATTTATCTGAGCATGTTAAGTGTCTTTATGAATGTAATTTAGAGTTCTCTGTCAGGTAAATCATATACCTGTTTCTTTGGAGTCAGCTTCTGGAGACATATTTTGTTCCTTTAGTTAGGTCATGTTTGCCTATTTCTGTATGTTCTTTCAAATTTTGTGTTGAATTAATGCAATTGAGAAGACAGCTACCCCTCCAAGTCTTTAGGGACTAACTTACAGAGAAAAAGACTTTTACCAATCAACTGGGCTAGAAGATCTGGGACCTATCAAATCTTTTCTGTGTATATGGTTTCTCTAGTAGTGCATGGAAAGTCCTAATTAGATTAATTTGCTGTTTTTATTTTTGAGAACATTGTAATCTTCCACTCCTTGTGGGGTCTTTCTGGGGCTCTGCAAGCTCTCTGGTGCTGTGGCAAGCTGACTCAATGTTTTCTTTTCCCAGTGGCCACCAGGCAGTTCCTCATCACTGCCCCAATCAGGCTAAATAAATATGATTCCCTTGGGAAGACCTCCCATAACCCAGATCTCCAGAAACACACTCTACTTCTCTGTTTCTCTTTCTGTCAATCTAAATGAAGGATGAGGCAAGACAAATCAATCCCTCAGATCACTCTTTGTAAAGCCAGGATGTTGGAAGCATACTCACTACTTTTATTCCCTCCCAGGGGAGAAGTTTCAAGTTGTACATCCTCAGTTGCACAAAGCTATGTTGGCAACTGTAAGCCACCTGCCTTTTTCTGTTTTCCTCAGCATCCTGCCAGGTCTCCAATTTGTTCCAGTTTCATCAGTACTGTGAATAAGGAGTGAGGAGATACCAAAACAAGTCCTTTAGGTAGAGCTTTGAAAAGTTGCACCATTGGACCTATGTTCTAATATCTCTTTTCTTCTCAAGGAGGAAGATGCAGGCCAGGGCTATCTCTCTTGGCACTGAGCTGTGAAGGCTAGGAAGAGGGGCTGACATGGATAAAGTAAAATTGCTCTTTCTACCCAATTCAATGTGGCTGTTTTCATCTTTGTGCTTGCCTGGGTTACTAAATTTTTTATCTGGATTATGGAAAACTCATGAAGATATTTTAGTTTTCATATTGTGGTTAAATCAGTGTTTCTATGGACTTTTTATTCTGCCATCTTGTTGACTCACATAATATTTTCTTAGTCTTTTTCATCTATTAAATAAAGTTGGAAGTGACTTTCAGAAAGCTTTTTTTTATTCATAGTCCATTTTTGCTTTTATTCTCTATGATACTGTAACACCTGCAATACACTTCTATTGTAGCCACAGTAACACAATTTATCTTCTAAATTGTGGCACTTTGGAGAGTAAAAACAGATGCTTATTGTGAATGTCCAGAATGCAATTTTTATTTATCACATTTACTTAATAATGGTATCTAATTCTAATCATTCTTGTCTTTTGAAAATGATGATAATGTTTTTATTTTAAAAAGTGAGCATCACTATAGGGTAGCCTTAAATTGAGCTCTCAAGATCTTATTCACTATCCACAGGAGGCCAAGAGCTTGGTATCAAACACCTGTAGACCATTTGGTATTGAAAAGAGTTGCAAAGGCTACAGTGAGGGTAAATTAATAAAAGCTATATTTTATATGCATAATTTATTACTATTTTTCTACGGTTTAAAATAATTATTTAAACAAGTTGTCATAAAGACATGAATAAGTAATGAGATACATTTATAGCTCTGAAAACAGAAAACCATTTTATGAGATTACCTTTACAATCTTGGGAAAGTTTCCCATTCCCAAATCATACTAGATTTCCTTAATGTGACATTTGTACTTAAAAGCCTGTTTAACTAGGTTAGGGAAAGGATTGTGAAAGTTCTTAGCATGGTATCTTAAACAAAGTAGGCCTTCAATTAATATTGGCAACGCTTCCTTTCCTTGTGGTACCAATGTCATATAAAACTTAAGAAAGGTCATAAAATGTACTTTTTGTTTTCTGACAAAACAGAAAACAGTTAATCTTTGCTTTGAAAACTATAAATTAGAAGACAAATGCATGGACTTAGCTATAAATGAACCTTTATAGAAAAGATCACTGGTTGCAATTAACAAGGGATGATAACCAAACTTACTCTTATCTGTTACAGAGATGGTCATTCTTTAATACGTGTCTTAAAAAAAACCCAGCAAAGATAAGCCTTTAAACCTTATCTGTGCTATTAAACTGCAGATATTTTTTTTTCTCTAGGTACTTTAGAGACTATTTCCTGTCCTTCTCATTATTTAATCAGCTTAATACAGGTGACTTCCAAATTAACTGTGGTCTAAAATTCTAAGATTAGAAACTTTGTGTCATGTACTTTATAATAAAATAGAAACTAATGGCAAAATTAAAATACATATATTTGGGGAAATAATTCTCAGGAACATTAAATAATGTAAAAATAACTATGAATAAGGCAAATGTAACTATAATATCTCTGAGGAATGAATAAAAGGAAACAAATGGCTTTACTAAACAAAGTACCAATGATTTGTCATAGACATGGTAGATACATGGTACATATTTTCCAGTATAAACTTTATTTCATACAATGGAAATATAATTAAAAGTAAAACATAAGTGATTTGATGATGCTTTACTTTTGCATTTATAAAGCTTTTGAGTAAATAAATTTTGTCAGCACATTTATATAACTTTTTGGTTCACAAAATACCGTTATAAAAAATGTGGTAATCCCTATGGTCTTAATTTTCTTGCTCTTACAACTTAATCTTTCTTTATTGCCATTCATAGTTTATACTTAGCCAGTTTTTTCCCAGCTTTATTGAGGTAGAATTGATAAATAAAAATTGTATATATTCAAGGTGTACAACATGATGTTTTGATAAATGAATAAACTGTGGAATGCAGTATAATATATACTTTATGTTTAAGGGAAAATATTTAACTACTTATTTCAAATTTCTGCTTGGAAAAATTTAATATGTCTAGCTTTTTCTATATAAATATAGCCTCTACTCAACTTTTAGGTGTTTCCCACTTCCGTGAATGAAGTGAGTATCATTACCAATTATCCAGGTGGCCCATGGTGAGAATCTAGGAATCATTCTTGATTCCTACCTTTTTCATATTCTCCTTTGTTAATCCATACACAAGGCCTGTTTATTCTTTCTCCACTGTTAAAATCTTGATCTGGGCCACTATCATTGTTAGCTGGACTAGAAACAGCATTCTAACTAGTTTCTTTCTTTCTTTTTTTTTTTCCTCCTTCAGTTCATTGTACGTGTATCAGCAAGATAAACCTTCAAATATAAATTAGATGATGTAATTTACACACTTAAAATTCTTCAATAGCACTGTATTGCACTTAAAGTTAAAATCTAGAAATTTTTTTTTACCCTACAAGTCAAAATATAATCTGTATTTCCTAGTTATTTAATCTTATTTATATCTTCAAACTAATTTGGCACATTAAACCACAAGCACACTGATGTTCTCTCAGTTTCTTAAACATGTCAAACTCCAAATAATTTCTTATTTCATGGCTCCTTTATATACTGTTCCTTCTGCCTGGAATGCTCTTTCGCTCATTGTTTGCATCATTAGCTTGTCTCTCTTTTAAGTACAATTTCTTACTAGGAATTTCTATGAAGCCTATCTATCCATAATGCAGCACACTCCTTCATTTCCTCAGGATTTTCTGTTTTCTAAATTAATTTTATAGCACAACACAATTTGATTGTATTTATTTTTTTTCTGCTTTAACTTGCCTTTTATATATCTACCTCTTTAGAATATCCATGAAGCAGAGAAGAAGGTATGTCTTATCTCTGTTTAGTATGGTGCCTGGCACATGAAAAGTTTAAAATAAACACCTATTAAATGAATACATGAATTATTTTCATCAATTAGGCCTCTTATTTTTGTACTGAAAAATGTCCTTTAAAACAAAAGATAAAATTTTTAGATCCTACAAAAACATACTGCAATTCTAGCAGTTTCATGGTAATTAACTTAATCCTCCAAATTATAAAGTTTTCATATCTATGCTTTAGTTTAAAAGGGACTAGAAAACAGAATTGAATGCTGAAAGAAGCATCTATTGAAAGCTCACTGCTTCCAGTGTTTGATAGTTCATTTATATCTATTTCAATGTATATTCACTATAATGGGAATGCTATTATCCCCCATTTGGAAATAAAGAAAGTGAACATTTGTGTGTTTTATAAAAATTGCCAAAGTCATTATTACTCATAAATGGCAAAAAATGGAATTTTAACATGTCTATCTGGCATCATGATTTATTACTTTTCCTGATACAATGTTGTCTACAACCACAAGAATTACTAAGGGAATAGAAGAGATTTAGCTCTAACCTCTCTAACCCCAAACCATGTATTCTTTTCATTATAATGTAGCTACCATATGTACACTGAGTCTATGATTTGAACAAGTAACAATAATTTATATTTAAACATATATTTATCTTTTATCTTAATTTGAAAATTAACTCCAAATTATTAGAAAATGTAACAGTCATAAAGGATTAAAGCCCTAGGGATGACAAATACAGTACAATGAAGTAATTAAAATAACATAAAATAAATGTACTAACTAAATATATCTTTCATAAAGTTGGCGATTCTAATACTGTACTACTAGAGACGGATGAAATAAGGACGTTATTTCTGTCGATGTGTTCATGAAATAAATATTTTATCAAATAAACTAAAACTAAAGGATGTGGATTTAATCACTACCATGGATACATTCATTTCTTGCTCTAATATGTAAAGGATGCATCAAGATATGCTAAGTTTATAAATTTTAGGAAATAATTATTTTCTGTAAATGGCAGTGTAATAATAGTCTCAAAAGGAAATACTTAAACTAATTTTAGACTATTAAAATATTAGTACCCATACCATTAAAGACAATCATTTGTACATATCTGCCAAAAGCCCATTTGCAACTGAGGAAAGATCACATGTAAAAGTAAAGGCTGAAAAAGCAACAACAAGATATTATGATTGAGGCACTTTTAAAGAACTGTGGGATAATTACCATTCTGAGAAATCTTGAATAGCCTAATTGAATTCTCAAATGTTGTCTTTTATTAATGTCTATAAATAAAACTTTAGGAACACTATCCATTAGAATAAAAGAGAAAAAATACATATATAATTTCAAAAAATGTTAAGATTTCTACTGCCAAATTTTATCTGACTTTGTTTTAGTAAAACTTAAAGGGGTACAAATGCGGTTTTGTTACATAAATATATTATGTAATGGTGAAGTCTGGGCTTTTAAAAGTGTAACAATCACCTGAGTAATGTATACTATGCCCATTAATTAATATCTTATTCCTTAGTCCCCTCTCATTCTCCTACCTTTCTGAGTCTCCAACATCTATTATTTCATACTCTATGTCATATTTTAATTTCTCTTAGGAAATATGTCTTCAAAGTTTATGACTTATTTTTTGGAGTACAAATTATACAATTTCTGTTCATAGGAGTTTTGTAACTTCATTAAATCATCTCCAAAACAATTTTTCTCTCTTATTTTCTGAAAAACTTCTGCATTAAAATAACTAAATATATATATCAGACTGTGAAGTTGTTTTACTTCAAACTGTTTCTAGGTGGTATAGGATGTATATTATGCTCAGAAAAGGTTCTTCCTTTCATAAAAGAAAATGTAGTGCTTCATTGGGATTACGCATATCTGCTATTTCTTATATCAGTCTCTGGGATAGAAAGAAAAATATCGAAAATGGAAAACAATAAAGTACCTTTATAGTTTTGTTTCATTTCCTTCACTGACGCTAATGTCACACAAAATGTCCAAGAATATTGTGTGTCAAAATTATTTCTATTATACACAAAAAAATTCATGGCTATTGATATTAAAACTGCATCAATGGTAAAAGCACATCATAAACACATGACTTGATGTTACAGCTTCAAAAAATTTTTTTGAATTAGTCACCAACATAAAAGCCTTCAACAGAAGTGCCTTAAAAATTACATGCTGCATTGCCAAGTAAAGGAAAACATTAATTGACTTTAGCTGAAAAAAACACATTTTTTAACAGCATAAATTTGTTTTGTATTGTAGAAAAGTAAAAGTCATTGAGGTGAATAATATTAATGACATTGTTTATTTAGAAATGGATCATTTGAATAGTTTGAAGTAGTTTCAGGTACAACTATAATTGCCTTTAATGAACAACTAGATGTAACCACTGATATTTGACATTGCAACCAGACTTGGACTTTGGCCTGTTATTAGTACGCCTAATCACATTAGAAAATCCAAATTGCACAGCTATCTATTAAAATGTTAGAGAATATTTTTGTCTTAAAAATAGTTAAATATTTTTTGCCTGGAAAAATTTCAGTGGGAAGGCAAATCTTTATATTCTCTGAAAAGGTTGAACACCTCTACTGGTTGGTGTGTTAGTCTGTTTTCACCCTGCTGATAAAGACATACCTGAGACTGGGAAGAAAAAGAGGTTTAGACTTACAGTTCCACATAGCTGAGGAGGCCTCAGAATCATGGCAGGAGGCAAATGGCACTTCTTACATGGTGGCAGCAAGAGAAAATGATGAAAAAGCAAAAGTGGAAACCACTGATAAACCCGTCAGATCTCATGAGACTTATTCACTATCACAAGAATAGCATGGGAAAGACCACTCTCTATGATTCATACCTCCCCCAAGTGCCTCCCACAATATGGGGGAATTCTGTTGATGCAATTCAAGTTGAGATTTGGGTGAGGACACAACCAAACCATGTCATTCCACCCCTAACCCCTCCAAATCACATGTCCTCACATTTGAAAACCAATCGTGCCTTCTCAAGAGTCCCCCCAAAGTCTTAACTCATTTAAGCATTAACCCAAAAGTCCACAGTCCAAAGTCTCATCTGAGACAAGGCAAGTCCCTTCTACCTATGAGCCTGTAAAATCAAAAGTAAGCTAGTTACTTAATAGATACAATGAAAGTACAGATATTGGGTAAAAATACAGCCATTCCAAATGGGAGAGATTAGCCAAAACAAAGGGGTTACAGTGTCCATGCAAGTCTGAAATGAAGTGGGGCAGTCAAATTTTAAAGCTCCAAAATTATCTCCTTTGACTCCATGTCTCACATCCAGGCCATGCTGATGCAAGAGGTGGGTTCCCATGGTCTTGGGCAGCTCTACCCTTTTGGCTTTGCAGGATACACGCTCCCTCCCAGTGGCTTTTATGGGCTGGCATTGAGTGTCTGTGGTTTTTCTAGGCCCAGGGTGCAAGCTGTTGGTGGATCTACCATTCTGGGGCCTGGAGGACAGTGGCCCTCTTCTCACAGCTCCACTACACAGTGCTCCAGTAGACACTCTGTGTGCAGGCTTTGACCCTATATTTCCCTTCTCCACTGCCCTAGCAGAAATTCTCCATTAGGGCCCCATCCCTGTAGCAAACTTTTGCCTGGACATCCAGGCATTTCCATACATGTTCTGAAATCTAGGTGGAGGTTCCCAAACCTCAATTCTTGACTACTGTGCACATGCAGGCTCAACACCTCATGGAAGCTGCCAAGGCTTGGGACATCCACTATCTGAAGCCACAGCCCAAGCTGTATGTTGGTTCCTTCCAGCCTAGCCTGGAATGGCTGGGACACAGGACACCAAGTCCCTAGGCTGCACACAAAATGGGGACCCTGGGCCTGGTTCATGAAACCAAATTTTCCTCATGGACCTCCAGTCCTGTGATAGGAGGGGCTACTGTGGAGGTCTCTGACATGGCCTGGAGACATTTTCCCCCATGATCTTGGGGATTGATATTAGGCCCCTTGCTACTTATGCAAGTTTCTGCACCTGGCTTAAATTTCTCCCCAGAAAATGGGTTTTTCTTTTCTATCGCATAGTCAGACTGCAAATTTTCCAAACTTTTATGCTCTGCTTCCCTTATAAAACTGAATGCCTTTAAAAACACTTGTCACCTCTCGAATGCTTCCTTGCTTAGAAATTTCTTCCACCAGATACCCTAAATCATCTCTCTCAAGTTCAAAGTTCCACAAACCTCTAGGGCAGGGGCAAAATGCTGCCAGTCTCTTGCTAACACATAACAAGAGTCACCTTTTCTCCAGTTCCTAACAAGTTCCTCATCTCCATCTGAGACCACCTCAGCCTGGACCTTATGTTCATAATGCTATCAGCATTTTTGTCAAAGCCATTCAACAAGTCTCTAGGAGGTCGCAAACTTTCCCATGTTTTCCTGTCTTCTGAGCCCTCCAAACTGTTCCAATCTCTTCCTGTTACCTACTTCCAAAGTCCCTTCCATATTTTCAGGTATCTTTTCAGCAATGCTCTGTTCTATTGGTACCAATTTACTGTATTCATCCATTTTCATGCTGCTGATAAAGACATGCCCAAGACTGGGAGGAAAAAGATGTTTAATTGAACTTACAGTTCCACATGGGTGGAGAGGCCTCAGAATCATGGCGGGAGGTGAAAGGCACTTCTTACATGTCAGCGGCAAGAAAAAAATGAGAGAGAAGCCAAAGTGGAAACCCCTGATAAACACATCAGATCTCCTTAGATTTATTCACTATCACGAGAATAGCACAGGAAAGACAGGCCCCATGATTCAATTACCTTCCCCTGGGTCCCTTCCACAACATGTGGGAATTCTGGGAGATACAATTCAAATTGAGATTTGGGTGGGGACACAGCCAAACCATATCAGTTGGAATAATAAAACATTATTGTTTAGATTAAAAAGAATCTTTGCACATGACTATGACTCATTGTTTTCTTCATTGGAATTCATTGGTGTCAACTCTTAAAAATGCTGAGCAAATTACTTTCTGTTACTTCTTAGTTAAGACCTTGGGCCATGCTGTTTCAAGAGGTTGTGTTAAGCAATGTGGGCAGAATAAGTCATCAATTATAGAGCTAATCACAAGAGTTCAGGGTTCTGGTCAAGCTTTTTGATTCTACTTTGATAGACATTTTTAAAGAGTAAAGGAAATATCTGATACCAAAATATGTCATGTCAAATTACATTCATAATTGATTGGAAGATGTTTTTATTTATGCAAATTAGATATGTCTTTCATTTCAAGACCTTCGAATCACCATTGTGAGTACTGCCATTCAGAAAGAAAGAGGCTAATGATGACAGTGACCACTCCAGACAGCCTGACGCTGCCATCCCGCAGGCTGTAGCAGGGAGGTACAGCTGGGGCTGCATGTTGTGTGCAGCTGGCAGAAGCAAGGGAGAAGTGGGAGCCCCGCCCTTTCTTAGTTCGGGCAGGAACTCCCCAATTGTTGCTGCAGCAACACGGCTGCACACCTGGGCCTCCCACTCCATGGAGAAGGCAGGAACCACCCTCATTCCCTGAACAGCTGCAGCTGCCCAAACTGAAACTGAGGCTACAGACTCAGGCATCACTGCATACTTGGGGGCCCGGGAATGCCCCCCTGCCCCTGCAGGCTTGGAAGTGCCTGCCCCCACTGCCTGGCTTCTCCCTGATGTTGGTGCCCTCTCCAATCTCAGAGCAGTCGGGGTCAAGCCTGGGTGCCATAAATAGCAGCAGAAGTCAGACAGGCCCCTGGGTGAAGGGGCAGGTCCCTGGTGAGGCCACACCTTCAGGACAGGGAGAGCCTCAAAACTGGGGACCAGGCTGCCTGTCCCACAGACTGAAGTGGGGATTTGTGGTACCTTTTCTGGGCTGCCTGTGGCCACCCATGGACCAACTGGCATGCACTTCCTCCCCTCTGAGGCTCACAAAAGCCCTCCCCTCTGTCTTAGCCAGAGCAGAAGAGAAGATGGAGAGATGATAAGAGGACCAGTTGCAGAGAGAAACTACCCTCTCTGCTGAGAGCTGAGCATTTGTCAGGGGATGACCTGCCTGCAGAGAGGAGTTGATAACTGAAAACAGTTTAGAGCACTGTAATACAATTAGTGTCCTATATTAAAGTAATGCTTTAACAAATCTAAAATATATGGCATTGAATTAACAGTTCAGAAGTTGAAATCAAGGGAATAAATATGGCAAATTGGGAAATGGAGATCTATGTTATCTTGTGGCAAAAATTTGGTGAACTCTCACCTGTTATAGCTTGAACAACAGACTGTGGGCTCACTACTCCTGTATCTCTAGGGTAGGGAGTTGTAAAATGCTACAGTATCAATTTTTATTTACAGTTGCTTGCTGCCTTTAGCAACTTTTTACAAAAAAAAATGAGATCAGGAAAAAAATGGCTGATTTTAAAGTAGAGATAAAGGGACCCACAGTATTTGAGAAGCCAAGTGCTTCTGGATTATAAACAGTGGGAGGTAGGACTAAAATAGGCTTAGAAAGACAAAGGTTCAAGACTTCTCATTAAGAAAAACTCATCCTTAATGTAAAAAACAGATTAATACTGTTGCTTTTTAACAAGAATATTGCTTTGGATGGCCTCACATAGCCCATAGTAAATTAAGTATGTAGGGGAATTTCTTAGTCCATTTGGTCTACTATAAGAAAATATCATAAACTGGATAGAGCCAAAAGGCCAAAAGGTCTAGAGGCTAAGACTCCCAAGATCCAAACTCAGGCAGATTTGATTTCTGTTTAGGACCCACATTTAAGATGATTGCTTTTTCCTGTATCCTTCACATGGTAGAAGAGACTAATCAGCTCTCTGGAGCCTTTTCTATAAGGGCACTAATCTAATTCATGACTGCTATGCACTTGTGATCCAATCACTGCCTAAAAGCACAACCTCCTAATATCATCACATTGGTGATTAGGTTTCAACATAAGAATTATAGGGGAACACAAACATTCAGAACATATCAGCAAATAAAGCATATTTAAGAATTACGTAGCAAAGAATTTGGGTGGTGGTTATTGACACAAGAAATGTTTTCAAGCCAAATATTGTATTCATGATTCCAAGAATTTTTTAATAATCTGGAAGTTAAATGGAATATTGTTAAAACTCTCTGAAAGTTTTTTGTTACTTTGTTTGTTTTTTAGTTTGAGATAGAGGGAAGGTGGTGAAAAAATACTTTTGAAGTGAAATAAGTAGTCTAGCTGTAATTAAATGTGATCAGTTTATGAATCTAGCACCAATGGCTTTTGATAATTTTTTAGATTTCTTTTTCAGTGTTCCTGATAACCTAGGTGATAATATTATGTGGAAAATTTTGCCATTAATGACTGAATAGAGAAGTATAAAAGTTGGACTGCATGAATCTGAAGGCAGATTCTGGAAACTTTATCCTATTTGTGTGCTTATATTCTTTCTTTCTACATGTACACAGGAATTAACAATGACAATGATTCTTAAAGCTTTGTACATGCACTGCTGCATAATTATTGGTACAGGAGCTAGAAAGAAATTATTTAGGCAGATAGTGAGGGTGAGAGAGTCCTCAGTAAGGTTCCCTTACTGAGGGCTGTTTATAAAAAACAGCTACAACATCATTTCTAATATAAAGTAGCCTGAAAAAATCAAGCTGCAAGCATAGATAAGCAAGCTAAATGCTTTCATAGGTAAATGCTGACAGCTGTGCCAATAGAAAAGGCTACTTGAAGGCCAGGCATGTTCAACATGGCGGCTCCATCTTCCCTTTTCTTTGTCAACCACGTGTATAGTAAGGAACAGGCAACATGGCACCAGGCAAGTAGAAAACTTATCTGCATAATAAAATATTAAGGTTGGATAGCCAGCTTCTTTGCCTGCTATACAAACGTCACACCTACTCCAACCAACCTCTCATGCTCTATGTAAATCAGACACCACCTCCTCAAGTTCATCTATAAAACCCCGATCATTTCACCACAGAACTGAAAGATCCACTCCAGACCACCTCTCTCTCTGCAAGAGAGAGATCTAGTCTCCTTTCTCTTTCTTCTGCCTATTAAACATTTGCTCTTAAACTCACTTCTTGTGTTTCCATGTCCTTGGCTTCCCTGGTGTAAGACAACAAACTTCGGGTATTTACCCCAGACAACAATGCTATTTCAGTGTCCCTTAAGCCTTATCAGAAATGCAAATCCTCAAGCGCCACCCAGACCTACTGAATCAGAAACTGTGAAGGTAGAACCCAGCAATCTATATTCTAGCAAGCTCTCCAGGTAATTCTGATACACAGTGAAATTTGAGAAACACTGACCTAAGATTAAATATCTATGCCTATAACTAAATATTCTATTTTAATGCATATCAAATAAGCATTTATGTTGATAAATGGTGGCATAGTGGCACATAAAATACTGATTCAACCTACAAAGAAAGGTATAGATTTGAGGATATGTGGTAGTGAAGAAGTGTAAATGGTTTAACAGAAATTGTATTACTAAAGATATAATGAGTCTGGTCTCAGAAAGCTTTGAAATTTGTGAAACAGGCAATAAACCTTGAGTCACAAACTTACAACAGCAGAAAGCAGGGCTGTTAAAGATGTACACTGCTCATGGAGGACATACTTGCCATAATCCTATATAGTTGTGGCCATGGAAGATAATCGATAAGAAAGACCTTTCCATTGGATAGAGCCAAAGGAGTCTTTGTAGTGCTTATTCAATAGCTGTAAGAGATTTAAAATACCTCCAACACAAAGAAGAAATAATACATGTTCAAGGTGATGTTCTAAATACACTGATTTAATCATTGCACTTTGTATGAATGTATCAAAATATCACATGTAACCCATTAATACGTACAATTATTATGTACCAATAATTTTTTAAAAAAGAATTCTATAACTCTTATAGAACAATAAATGCACTGTTTTTCTATTTTTTGTGTGCAAGTGTACTTGGACAAATGAGAGATATTTATTCATTTATGAATTTATAATTGTTGTACTACAGAAATCTGCCTATAGACCATAGATGTTGAACTTGGAGTTTGATGTAATAAATAAATGGAAATTTATGTTGCCATGTTTTGGGAAGGACTGAATTAATTCTAAGAATAAAGACAAGAGTGACGTGTATCTGAAGATCAGATTGTTATAGAAAGTGAGAACTGGCCTTTAAATTTATTCTTCCATTTCACTTTGAAAAAATAACTTGACTATCTTCACACTCTTTTGCATTTAGATGTTGCCATGTGGCTGAGTTCTAGCCAATGAAACTTGAACAAAGTATTTTTGCTGCTTTCAGACCTGCCTCTAAAACTTGTGCTCCACCATTACCCCTTGCTCAGGTGGCATCAGCATTGATAATTCTTAGTGTTATTTTGGAAGCCACATACTGAAGACTACAGAGCCTGCAGTAGCCTAGTACTTGAATAACTTCACAGAAAAGAACACATACATCACAACCAATTGCCAACCCCAACCCCCACCCCATCTCAAGATCTGCATCTACTTGGACTGCTATGAACAACCAATGCATGTAAATTGTGTTAACTTATAATATTTGAGGCTGCTTAGAAAATCTCTTTAGCTTACTAACAATAATAAAGCCTAAATACAATAATATATTCAATAATACAACAGTACATGACTGAACTCAGAACCTCAGAAAATAATTTATAATTCGACTACACCATGCTGCTGGTAATAACTTTCAAAAAGTAAAATCTCTAACACAAATTTATTATTGACATGAACTTTTCTCTATAATTACATTTATCCCCAATATGAATGTATATTTCTAGCTTTCTTTTCAACTCAAAGAAATACTAATTAAATAGTTGCTTCCTATTAAATGCTGAAGCTTTAGAAATCAATGAAAACCCTTTACTTGGCCGGGCACGGTGGCTCACACCTATAATCCCAGCACTTTGGGAGGCCAAGGTGGGTGGATCACCTGAGGTCAGGACTTCAAGACCAGCCTGGCCAACATGGAGAAACCCCATCTCTACTAAAAATAAAAATTAAAAAATTAGCCAGGTATGGTGGCACATGCCTGTAATCCCAGCTACGTGGGAGGATGAGGTAGGAGAATTGCTTGAACCCGGGAGTGGAGGTTGCGGTGAGCTGAGATCATGCCACTGCACTCCAGCCTGGGCAACAAGAGTGAAACTCCATCTCAAAAAAAAAAAGAAAGAAAGAAAACCCTTTACTTACAGGTTAGATCAGATGACTGAAGAATTGTATTGGTGAGGCTTATGTCCAGACTCAATTTATATGAGGACAGAAGCTTCTTAATAATCGCATGCTGTACAAAGAATTTTAGTAGTTTATACACTTATATCACTAGATTAAAATGCATATAGAATCCTAGATTTAGGTCTTGTTTAAACAAGTTGGAAATTTGTTCAACTAACCAGGTGCTTTTAGGGAACTCCAGATTTTTTTTTCTGATCTTTTTTCTAATCCCTAAAAGAGGAGGTTAGATTCATGATCAAGCTTTTAGGAACTTCTATAACATATGAGATAAACATCTCCTGTGCCACTCAATATGTCGCACCTCTTATCATATGCATTTGTGCAGTTTTACTATTTATTCAAAATTCAAAAACAGAAGTGCTTGTACCCGTTTTATCTTCATATTTGCTGCAGCTTTCATTTTGGTATCTTATACAGTTGCTCATGAATATTTGTACAATGAATGAGTGGCACTTTCTGATGTCAAATTCTTTGCCAGAATTCTGAAGAGTAGCATAGATAAATCAATGTGGATAGCAGCACGGGTCTATACATTCTACTTTAAGGTTATAACAAATGATGGGTAATGATCAGTTGCTTCGAGAAACATATATTTTATCTAGAACAGGCCAGGGCAACTCACCTAGGCTTTCTATTCTTGTATGGGCTGTTTTAGATGTACTTTCTCACTTACATCCTTTTAATACCTACTTTTTAAGAGGACCATTTATTTGACAAAAGGAAAATGAATAAATGTTTTGTGTACATTTTTACACTGAACAAATATTCTAGAAATAAGTTTCAATACAAATTGAAATATCCTTTTAAAAAAGTTCTTTACTATTTACTCATTGACAAAATAAAGAACATATTATTTCTAGCCTAGATAAATTAATAAATTTTCCCAATTAAACTTGTTTTTTATGAAGTAGGGTGAGGATATTTCTAATTACATTTCAGCAGCTTACATAATTCAAACCTGAAATCAGCAGCTTACATAATTCAAAGAAAGCAGGAAATGATGAAAATAATAGTTAACATGAATTAAACACATCCCAGAGACCCTTACACAATTAAGCATTATAGGATGGGAGAAAGGTAGAGATGTTGCAGAGCTAAGGATAAATATGGAATACTATTTATTCCAATTACAGTAACTTTCCCACTGGAAATACTGTCAATGTTGAGCTAGAGGGCTTCATAGCAGACGCTAACTTTAGGTTCATTTAGCATAACCTCTCTCATTTGGGGTCCTTGTATTCAGAATTCCAACCTGAAATTCTATTTACTAATGAAGACAGGGCTAATACTACTTAAATTCAAAAGTGGTGACAAAGCCAGAAGAAGGAAGAAAATTAACAGCTTAATTAAGAAAAAAACTACATTGTTATATTTCAACATGTTAGAGAAATTAGTCACACCTGTAATTCATTTGTACAGCAATATATTCATCACATAATCAATTGCTAAACTGGAAATTAACAAGTGGGTTTTTTAACTCATTTGGCTCCTTTCTGGAAAATAAATTAATACAACAAGGTCCTAAATGGTTCTGTTATTTGTTTGTTCTTATTATTGTTTTATAGTAGTCATATAAATGCTTACATTGTTGCAAATAAAACCCACCTGTATTCAAGTAACCATTTGGGTTTAAGTTTTGAATGGGTTTAACTTAACTATTATAAACAGATGGTTATCGTTCTTTACCAAACTAGTTTACAGTCAGAAGCTGTGATGGGAAATATAATAGATTATGTAGTTAAGAGACCTTGGTTCAAATCTAGCTTAATACCTGACTGTATGCAACTTTATGCAAGTTACTTCATCTGAAACTTGAAAATGCTCTATTCTGTTGTCATAATGGAGAAAATACATGTTTAGTGCCAAATGTAAAAACTTAGAGTGAGCACTTAACAAATACTATTCCCCGACTCTACTAAAAATACAAAAAATTTAGCCGGGCGCGGTGGCGGGCACTTGTAGTCCAGCTACTTGGGAGGCTGAGGCAGGAGAATGGCGTGAACCCGGGAGGCGGAGCTTGCAGTGAGCGGAGATCGACCCACTGCACTCCAGCCTGGGTGACAGAGCGGGACTCCGTCTCAAAACAAAAGAAAACAAAACAAATATTATTTATGTTTTTAAAAGTTAAAAGTAAAGTTTACATTTCTTTGTCAATGAGCCTTGTCTCTTTATGAAGTTATGGTAAACATTCTGATTTTATTTAAATTACTTGGGTTTTGCAAATTCTGTTCCCAAAAAAGTAGACTTTGAGACAGAGATTGACATGCAATAAGATTTATTAGGAAGCTCTTCAGATTAATAACTTTGGAAAAAAGAGAAGAAATCAGGATTGGACAGAAGAATACATTGGGCTTCAGTAACTCAACCCATGGGGAGCTCTAAAACTAGCACAGACCTTCAAAGTTGGTCTGCATGATGGTAAAGAGTCTGATGACACCAGGTGAAAGTTGCCCCTGGGATGTAGGCACAACTTGAGTGAAGCAGTTACGTTAAGCCTAGAGAAAGTTCCAGAAAAAGTAATAAACTGACAGCATTCCCAGCAGCTAGGGGAATAAATCCTATAATCTTAAAGGGGGACTTGGATGATGCATAACAGAAAGGTACATCACAGTGATTAAAAATCAGACATCCAAAGTATCCCTGCTTGCAAACAATTCTACATCTAGAAAACCCCATAGTCTCTGCCCAAAAACTCCTTGATCTGATAAACATTGTCAGCAAAATTGCAGGATACAAAATTTATGTGCAAATCAACTAGCATTCCTATACACCAACAACATTCAAGGTGAGAACCAAATCAAGAATGCAATCCCATTCACAATAGCCACGAAAAGAATAAAATACCCAGGCATACAGCTAATTAAAGAGGTAAAATATCTCTAGAATGAGAATTATAGAACACTTCTTAAAGTAATTGGAGATGACATGAACAAATGAAAAAAACATTCCATTTTCATGGATTGCTATTCCTATCAAACTACCAATGATGTTCTTCACAAAACTAAAATCAACAACAGCAACAACAAAAAAAAACTATTGTAGAATTCATATGGAACCAAAAAAGGGCCTGAACAGCCAAGGAAATCTTAAGAAAAAAGAACAATCCTGAAGGCATCTCATTACCCAACTTCAAGCTATACTACAAGGCTATGGTAACCAACAGAGCATAGTGCAGGTACAAAAGCAGACACACAGACCAATGTAACAGAAGAGAGATCTCAGAAATAATGCTGCACACCTACAACCAATTGATCTTTGCCAAAACTGACAAAATTTGCAACAGCAAATGAAGTCCCTATTCAATAAATCTACAAAATTCAACTCAAGATGGATTAAAGACTGAAATATAAAACCTAAAAACCTTTAAAAACTCTGGAAGGTAATACTATTCTGGACATAAGACCTGGCAAAGATTTCATGATGAAGATGCCAAAAGAAATTGCAACAAAAACAAATATTGACAAATAGAGCTAAAGAGCTCTGCAGAGCAAAAGGAACTATCAACAGAGTAAACAGACAACCTACAGAATTAGAGAAAGTATTTGTAAAGTATACATCTGAAAAATGTCTAATATATAGCATCTACAAGGAACTTAAATTTACAATCAAAAACAAACAACCTCATTAAAAAGTGGGCAAAGTACAAAAACAGATACTTTTAGAAAGAAGACATACATGTGGTCAAAAAGCATATGAAAAATGTTTAGCATCAGTAATCATTAGAGAAATGCAAATTAAAACCACAATGAAATGCAAGTCAGATAGGCTATGATTAAAATGCTAAAGAATGGCTGGGCATGGTGGCTTATGCCTGTAATCTCAGCACTTTGGGAGGCCTAGGCAGTTGGATCATGAGGTCAGGAGATCAAGACCATCCTATCCAACATGGTGAAACCCTATCTCTACTAAAATACAAAAATTTAGCTGGGCATGGTGGCACGCACTTGTAGTCCCAGCTACTTGGAGGCTGAGGCAGAGCAATTGCTTAAACCCAGGAGGCAGAGGTTGCAGTGAGCCAAGATAACGCCACTGAACTCCAGCCTGGTGACAGAGCGAAATAAATAAATAAATAATAATAAATAAATGTTAAAGAATAACAGATGCTGGTAAGGTTGTAGAATAAAGGGAAGGCTTATACACTGCTGGTGGGAATGTAAATTAATTCAGCCATTGTGGAAAGCAGTTTTGTGATTTCTCAAAGAACTTAAAACAGAATTACCATTTGACCCAGCAATTTCATTATTGGATACAGACCCAAAGGAATACAAATCATTCTACCATGAAGACATATGAACATGTATGTTCATCATAGCACTATTCACAATAGCAAAGACATGAAATCAATCTAAATGTCCATCAATGGTAGACTGGCTTAAAACAATTGTAGTACATATACACAATGAAATACTATACAGCCATAAAAAATAATGAGGTCATGTTCTTTGCAGCAACATGGATGAAGCTGGAGGCCATTATCCTAAGAAAACTAACAAAGGAACAAAAAACCAAATACTGCATGTTCTCATTTATAAGTAGGAGATAAACTTTGAGTACATATGGACACAAAGAAGGGAACAACAGACACTAGATTCTACTGTAGGGTAGAAGGTTGGAGGAGGAAGACGATATAAAAACTACCTATCAGGTACTATACTTATTACCTGAGTGACAAAATAATCTTTACACTAAACCCCTGATACATGCAATTTACCTATATAACAAACCTTTCACATGTAATCCTAAATCAAATTTTAAAAAATAAGACATCCAGTGTCAAAATATTTAAATAATGATTCTGATGTTTATGATATACATGACCTTAAACAAATTAACTATATCTATGCATAAGAATCATTATCCACATAAGGGAAGTTAATTATATATATATATAAACTTATATATATATATAATTAACATATATAAGTAATTTATATTTAAAATTTATATAATATATATCTTACCAGTCACTAAAAAAACTAAATACAAAAATGCAAAATATGTTATCCATTCAAATAATGCTTGACATATAATGTCTCCGTTGAATATCAGTTGTTGTTGTATAATTAGAGAGATAATTATGCCAGGGAACTTTTAAATAAATTATTGAAAACTGTGTGACTGGGATAAATTACAGTTTAACTTGTCTTAGTGTATTTGCAACATCTAATTTATAGCACCTCTTCAGCACCAAGAATAGGCCTAAGAGTTTGTATCTGAGCCTGCTTTGATTTTTTTGGGAAAGAAATTGTTCAAAAGAAAGTAAGAAATCAGTGCTAGAAGGTAATAATCATAATGATCAGCTGGACTAGTAATCAATAGCTGCTGGGGTGTTGAATTGAAATGCCATTGTAATTGACTAGGTAACCTGAGTAACACAGGCTGCATAGCAAAGGAGAAGTATATTAGTACATTAGTCATCATCCTGTTAGAAACACAAAAATCATACTGGTACTTCAACAGAGAGAATTCAATAAAATAATTAAACAGGTGGTAAAGAAATAAAAAAGTAGAAAAGGAACACTGAGTTAACACAAAGATAGTAACCTCAGGAGGTAACTCCAACCTCAATGGCTTGGGGAACAAAGTGTAACCACCCAATGGGTTCACCTTGCCTGCTGCCTAGACAGAGCCAATTTATCAAGACCCGGGAATTGCAATAGAGAAAGAGTAATTCATGCAGAGCCAGCTGTAAGGAAGACTGGAGTTTTATTATTAACCAAATCAGTCTCCTTGAGCATTCAGGATCAGAGTTTGTAAGGACAACTTGGTGGGGGAAGGGAAGCCAGTGAGCTGGGGGTGCTGATTGGTCAGGTCAGAGATGAAATCATAAGGAGTCAAAGCTGTCTTATTGTGCTGAGTTCCTGGGTTGGGGCCATAAAAATATCAGATGAGCCAGTTTATTGATCTGGGTGGTGCCAGCTGATCCATCAAGTGCAGGGTCTGCAAAATATCTCAAGTGCTGACCTTAGGAGTAGTTTAGGGAGGGTCAGAATCTTGTAGCCTCCAGCTGCATGACCCGTAAACCATAATTTCTAATCTTGTGACTAGTTTGTTAGTCCTACAAAGTCAGTCTAGTCTCCAGGCAAGAAGGAGATTTGCCTTGGGAAAGACCTGTTTTCATCTTTGTTTTAAACTATAAGTTCCTCTTAAAGTTAGTTAAACCTATGCCCAGGAATGTACAAGGACAGCTTAGAGGTTAAAAGAAAGATGGAGTTGGTTAGGTCAGATCTCTTTCACTGTCTCAGTTACAATTTTGCAATGGCGGTTTCAAAAGGAGAAAGTATTAGAATGTCAAGTTTTTGAGAAGAGACCTGGAAGAGTTGGAATTCAGACCTTAGCAAAGGGATCCTTTGCTAGAGAATGCTGGTTCCTTAAGGATCTTTGAGGAGAGGCCCACATTGCTGAAACTCAGAATTCTGAGAAGGAAGCAGCATCCAGCTGTTACTTGTCCTCAGGAACTCAAAGGAGGGGTGTCTTGAAGCTAAGTCCTGAACATCATAAATGGTTCAGGTAAATCTGAGAAAGCATAATGAAGTTGGTCCTCAGAGACCAAGAGCAAAGACACAACTAAAGACTAGTACCAACTGCCACTGCAAAGGCGAAGTTTGATTGCTGTAGTCAGGTGGACTGCAGTGCAAATAAACAAGAAAAGCAAGACCCTTGTCTCTGCCTTGTAGTATCTCTCTAGTGCAGAGAGTGGCAAACTGCAGCCCATGGACCAAATGTGGCCTGTCTTGTGTTTTTGGAGAAGCTGTGAATTAAGAATTGATGTACACCTATAGTCCCAGCTACACGAGAGGTTGAAGTGGGAAGATCGTTGGAGGACAGGAGTTCAAGATCAGCCTGGGAAACATAGCAAGAATCTGTCTTGCTTTTTAAAAAAGAAAGAACAAAAGAAATAGAGAAAAGAGAATACTATTTCATGACAGGTAAAGGTTATATATAATTCAAATTTCAGTGACCATAACTAAATTTTTACTGTAACACATCCATGGTCATTTATTTGCTTATTATCTATGGGTGCTATCATGCTGCAAAGCTACAGCTGAATAACTGCGACATGGCCCAGAAGCCCACAAAACCAAAACAAAAAATGTATTACCATCCATCCCTTAAAAAAAAAAAGTGTGTCAACCCCTGCTCTAGTGCTCCCTTTTGGCAAAGGAGAAGCACTGTTTGCAGAACTCTAGATCCAGTACCATGAAGAGCATACAGCAGAGCAGCTTTGAGGCTGAGAAACAACAGTTCTATAGATGCTGGGTTTGAAAATAAGTGAGTTTTTCTTTTTTTTAATTTTTTTTTAAAATTATACTTTAAGTTCTAGGGTACATGTGCACAACGTGCAGGTCTGTTACGTATGTATACATGTGCCATGTTGGTGTGCTGCACCCATTAACTCATCATTTACATTAGGTATATCTCCTAATGCTATCCCTCCCCCCTCTCCCCACCCCATGACAGGCCCCTGTGTGTGATGTTCCCCTTCTTGTGTCCAAGTGTTCTCATTGTTCAATTCCCACCTATGAGTGAGAACTTGGAACCAACCCAAATGTCCATCAATGATAGACTGGATTAAGAAAATGTGGCACATATACACCATGGAATACTATGCAGCCATAAAAATGGATGAGTTCATGTCCATTGTAGGGACATGGATGAAGCTGGAAACCATTATTCTCAGCAAACTATCACAAGGACAAAAAACCAAACACTGAATGTTCTCACTCATAAGTGGGAAAATAAGTGAGTTTTTCTAACGAGTGTTAGAATGTGTGGCTATGTGCCAAAAGACCCTGATGCTCTGATTTCAGCCCATCTCTCTTTGTCCATCCAATTCTCCTTGGTGATATTTTCTAGGGTGTAATAACTTGTGTAGCCCGTCCTTCTCTTTTCTTGTCCCCATTATCTCATTCTGTTGTTTTTCCTCCTCACACTCAAAGATTTTTAAATCCTGCATACCGTGCAAACTCTGAAATTGCTTAAGTAACACTGTTTCTGAACAGAAGTCAAAATAGATTTTGCTCAAATAGCCAAGTATCTGAGAAAATATTGTTATTTACACCGAGATTATATTGCTTTCCACAGATATGACTCTAGGTGGTTCAGTGGAAATAGGTTCACCATTGTAAAATGCCATAATTGATCGCTGATGGACATGATGGACATGATGGGCCTCATTTATGATATTGAGAGTGTGGGAGTCTTCTGTTTACTGTCTTGTTTCCACTTTAAATTATCTATGCTTATATGAATAAGACACTGAAGTAAAGAAATCTTGAGATAATTTCTAAATTTTATTTTAGTTAACTTTTTCCCTCTAGCTGAGCTCTGTAAGAACAACTAAAAACTATAGTCATGCACCACATAATGATATTTTGATCAATGACCAACTGTGTATATGATGGTGGTCTCATGCAATTATAATGCCCTATTTTTACTGTACTCTTTTCTACTATATGTTTAGACATGTTTAAAATATAAATACTTACCACTGCTTACAATCTTCTTTAGTACAGTAACATGCTGTACAGGTTTGTAGCCTAGGAGCAATAGGCTATACCATATAGCCAAGGTATGTATTAGGCTATACCAGCTAAGTTTGTGTAAGTATGCTCTATAATGCTCACACAATAACAGAAACTCCTAAGGACATCTTTATCAGAATGTATTGCCATCATTTATCTACACATGATTGTACTGAAAATACATTTTGAATTTATTTCTCAGCTTCTCTGAAATCTGAAGCATTTATTAAGAAACAATAAAATAAATATAAAGGCTTTAAAGAACCAGAACTAGTGAGTTATGAGAAAGAGTGTGCCTTTCTTCTGGGGAGCTTTTGAGGGTCAGTATAAATGCATGAGGCCAGGGGTACAAATCACTTCTGGCAATAAGAGGAAAGGGCTTGGGTTAGTTTTAAGTGTACATTAGCAAAAATAAAAAGAAATTGTTCTGTTTTAAAATAACTTGAAATTTAGCTGAGAAAAGAGACTATAGAAAAAGTAAATATGAGACTTATAAATTAACATAGAAATATATAAAACCAAAATTATCCAAATCCTGACGGTTTGGGATGCTAAGACTGTATGAAAAAGCTAATGATGGTTAGTTTCAATACTTAAAAAATAACAAAGCAATGGTGCTCTTAATTTAATTAACTTGAATTATAGCTGTTTATATATATGTATATATGTGTGTGTATATATATCTGTGCACATTTATATACACATATTTATATACATTTATCTGTACACATTTATATACATTTTGGCAAGATGTTGAATTAATAATATGTTGCATTTATTTTTCATACCCAGTTTAGTCCTTTGAAAATTCTTAGAGGCTCAGCAAAGAATATAGTGACAGATCTAATAAAGTAATGTGCCCAATATCTTTCTTTTAATGTATCTATGCTGGAGCATTCAAATAGGAGTTTACTCTTGAAAGAGACAGGTCTTTCTTGAACTCTTACCAAGCAAACCTGAGAACATATTGATGTTCTGTGTTAGTCCAGTGGCTATTAAGTGAGAAAGTAGACTTAAATCAGTCCTTCAGATATTCAGATCTTATGCCATTCAAAGGACTAATATTTAAAGGTCAGAACTGTAAAGAAGGAGGATACACTGAATTGAAATCTAGTGTAGAATTCAGGGGAAAACTTTTGGCTTCTGGTTTATCTTTTTGTTTCCATGAAATTCACAAGTGTTGTGTGTTAAAGACATCAATAATATATGCCACTTCTATCCATAATGAAGTACTTAATATCAGAAAAGATAATTTTATTTATAGAAATAAACTGTACTATACAATGTAAATATTAAACATATTCATAGTTTTGCTAACATTATGGTTATTTCATAACATTTCTCTTCAGTTGAACTTCTTTTATCTAGTAAAATTATTTGAAAAATGTAACCAGAAATGTATGTGGTAAACATTAATTTGTAAAAGGTATATTTAGAATTAATATGTACTATCTTAATGCTATATAAATGTATTTTCTTAACATTTATTTGATTGTTTGTTGTTTCCTCTCCTTGGAAGATGGGTCTCCTGCAACTGATATTAACCACTCCAAAAAGAACAGGGTGTTAAGATTATTTATGTAATAGGTAAAACAATTTCAACTTAAGCATTTTTAGAATCTGGAAAATAATTTAAATCTCTTTTAATTTGATTTATTGTGCTGTTTTTCTTTTGCAGTTTGCACTGTAAATTTAGTGGGATAAGGAGACTTAAAACCTTCTTCTCCTGGGAAGATCGGTCTATTGCGGGTCAAGTGAAGTTTCTTTATTTTTTTTCTTTTGGAGACAGTCTCACTCTGTCACCCAGGATGGAGTGCAGTGGCATCATCTCGGCTCAATGCAACCTCCGCCTCCCGGATTCAAGTGATTCTCATGACTCTGTCTCCCAAGTAGCTGGAATTACAGACCTGTGCCAACAAGCTCAGCTAATTTTTAATTTTTTTTTTTTTTTTTTTACTGGAGAGGTGGTTTCACTATGTTGGCCAAGCTGGTATCAAACTACTGGCCTCAAGTGAGTCGCCTGCCTCGACCTCTCAAAGTGCTGGGGTTACAGGCCTGAGGCAGGGTGCCTGGCCAAAAGGGAGAAGCAACCACGAAGGGATGAATTTTTCCTTCTGTTTTCTTCTTGCCATTTTGAGTGGCAAACTCTAGCTTCTCTAGAGAATGAATGCATTATACGAGGAATACTGGTCTGTGACCTCAATGCCTGGTTAAGTAAGTCAACAGTCGATGCTTTAAAAAATTGGTTGAATTCATGTAGAGAAAATGTAGATTTAAGGTTAACTTGTGAGCTCAGTGAGTGAAAGAAGACTAGGCCATTGAGTTTTGTTTCAGACTGGAACATATTTCTGACTTTGTCTAAAACAATAAAACAAAATCCTTAATCTCAGATCATTAAGAGAATACATTGAGGCTAAGCCCAAAAGTTGTGACTAACAATGTAATCGTAGTTCTCCCCACTCCACGGATCTATCACATATGCAGCACCAAGTATAGTAAGCAATTTATAACAATTCAAGTGTGCTGAGTTAGCCATATCTTTCTATCTGCTTTCACAAGATGTAGGACTGATGTTAGTCACATTATTGAATATTTGACATTTGACAACTCAGTGCACTGGCCAGTGCAGGATAGAAGATGAAGAATAATCAATTTCTGCATCAAATAGTTATTTTATAAATGTCTGTTGTATATCCAACACTTTTCTACATTTAACTAAATAATTGTAAAATAGAAACAGAAAAAATAAACCATATTCTCTGTAAGAAAAAAATGTTGTAAAGGTTTAAGGAACTATATTAGCTAGTGTTTTTTAGTATAAGTTTTACAAATAGATATAATTGTGAGTTATTCAGAGTGTGAAATTTTTCTCAAAGAAACAAAGTAGGATTACTAAATTAAATGATTTCCAAATATTCATTTTGTTCCTTATAGACTCTGTATATGGTATTTTTGTTTTAACATATCACATTTTGTACTGCAATGTTTTAACAAGACTCAAATATAACTTGAAAGCTCATAAAAGTCACATGTTCAAAAAAGCACTGCAAACTTCATATAAGCAATTTAATTAGCATATAATTTTCTTTTAAGAAGAAAGTACATATTATATTTCTCTTACAGTACATATTATATTACTCTTCAGGGAATATACCAGATCATGCTGTTTATAGTAATTATGTATTCAAAATTGACTGCTTCTCCAGCACAAAGAGAGTAACATTCATTTTTTCTATTCTGAGGACCTACCATATATCTGAGAGAGAAAACATTTAATAATTTATGCTAAATAAATGAATTCATAAATGAGTAAATGAAAGTAGAGATAAATGAATATGTAAATCAGAAAAAAATATGTAACAGCATTTGGAACTCTTATTGAAATCTCTAAAGATATTTTATTAATCTGTGTGCTCTGATCTTGTTACCCCAAACAATCTAGGGATATAAGAATACACACACATTTATGTATGTGTGTATGTGTGTATGTATGTATGTACATATAAGTTTGGAGGTTGATATCTATGTATGAAGGTTAAAAAGTTGTTGTGACTCTAATCTGCAATTTTGTGAGAAAGTTAATGAAATTTTAACAAGGGTTATTTCTGAATAGTTTACGTAACTAGGCTTATAATTTTTTTAATTTAAACTACCTGAGAAGGTATCATTTCTAGTTTGGTACTAAAAACTGATAATAATCAGAATCAGAAAGTCTACTCCTAACTTGTGAAATACTTATCCATATGAAATTAAGCTGCTATTAAGAATTTGAAGCCATGTATAAACTAAAAGCAGGACCCCATGCATGATATTTTTGCTCTTTGCTTTTTATAATAAGGCATCTTTAAGTTTTTAAATTGTTACTTTTAGTGTGGTTCATATCTATGCTTCATCTTAGTTTGTAGTCCAACTCAATTATAAAATAGCTTTTTAGGGAAATGTGGGTTTGAATACTCTTAAATCCATGAGATTAGTGTACTAAAATAAATAATGAACATTATATTTCAAGATTTTAAGGAATCCTAATAAAGCTTCCTTGCAATGTTGCTCTTTTTGATTCAAAGTGTAATGCTGATTCAATAGCAACTGATTTAGGTGCCTTAGGGCTTTTTCCATGAAGAATGAATGAACAATTTTAGCACTTTCTTTTCTTGTTTCTCCAAATTCTCAGTACTGATTTTGAGGGTCATGGGGTGAGGCCCATCTGTTTAATCAGGTTTCTGCCTGATGATGCAGGTAGACTGGGAAGTTGAAACTCAACCATGCTTTCCTTTAAGTATGGTAATTAGCCTCTTATATCTGCGCCGAGTGTAAGTAATGAGCACATTTAAAAATGCAATCATAGCAGAATGTAAGTTTTGCATGCTTAAACTCTTTCAAAATTCCCATGGGTTGAGTGTCTTCCTTCAGCCAAATTGTATAAGGTTGGTTTAAAACTGCTCTAATATATCACTCAAGGATGTAGACCAATTTATCCACTTAGATGTCAAGAGCTCTACTCAAGTAGGATAGAGTCATTGTCATAAGTCTAAGATTTTTTTATTTTTCTTCCCAATTTTTCAGAGTAAGTATGGACATTGTTTCCCCTTCAGAAAAAGACTTAGGTGATATTTCATTTGTTGACTAATTTTTTTTCTTCTTATGACTATATGTAACATACAGGCATAGCTATATAAATTTTGCCACAGGCATTCTTTTTAGGCAACAACTCAGTAATATACATATGAAATGCCAGAGGATTGCATTTAGGCATGTGGGAGAAGAAAATAAGGAGGACTTTTGCAATAAAATCTTAACAGTATGAAATTTTAAGGAATTCAAGCACAAAATAAAATAAAGTTAGGTTCATGACCAATCCCAAAATCGAGGTGGCTGAAATAGACTTAATGAAAGTAGGGTAGTGTTAGATTCCACTAGACCTGTCTGTGCTGTCCAATAACGTAGATCACCACACATCAATGTTTCAATTTATATTAGTTAAATTAAACTAAATAAAAATGCAATTCCTCAATTACACTAGCCAAGATTTCACATGCTCAATAACCACATGTGCCTAGTGGTTAAGATATTGGACAGCACAGGCATAGAACATTTTCATCACTGCAGAAAGTTTTATTGGAATACATTGCTTTACAGTAATGATCCTAAGGGAAATTTATATCACTGTTCGGTTCCAGTGGATCATGAATCCAAAGAGTAGGTACTATCATTTAAATGAAAATAACAATTCAGTTGGCCTGAAGTTACCCTTAAAGAAAATGTTATTTTTAAATCACTGCTGTCCATTTCAAAGGTACCTCAATATTGGCCAATCTTTCCCTACATATGTTCTACATTCAGAATCTAGTATTTGTATTAATAATATATTTATAATTATATATAACTCTATTTTATATACTGTATTAAGAGTAAATTTTACTGCAATTATAACTATTGGAAACTGTGGAGTCTATGATGTGCATATGATAAATTAATTTTGTTTTTGCATTTGTTTCTTCAAGATCACCAGTTAAGCTTATTTAGTATATATTTAGCTATTTCTCATAAACATTTTGCATTATAATTTTATATAATTGATTTTTATCTCATTTTAAAAATTACTAAATAAAGTTAAGTATACACCCTTTACAGATGTTTCAGTCATGCTGGTTTAATTTTTCTGGTTGTTTTCTCTCCGCTTTTGACACTGCTTATAATTTTTCTCTCATATATTTCCAGAATTTGAAAAGTATTCTTCTCACCTTCTTCTATCCTGCATATTATTTACTTTAAACATTTGTATCTTTACTTTGATAGCTTTTAATTGTATTATCATTAAAGGAAATATCAGACATATTCCAAAGTAAAGTGTATAGTGTAATGAACTCTTAATAATCCCTCACTCAGCTTTGACAATTATCAACTTAAACTTTTTTCATCTTTACCTCTTTTCACTCCCACCAATTCCTAAGATTATTTCAATATAATTTAAAAACATGATATTGTGTGATTTTATCTATATAACATTCTTGTAAGAACAAAACTATAGAGACAGAAAACAGATTAGTGGTAGCCATGGAACCAAGGATGACATGAAAGAGTTCCTTTTTGTGGTAATGGAACAGTTCTGTATCTTGATTTTTGTGGTGATCACATAAACCGACACCTGGAATAAAGCTGAATAGAACTATACATGCCTATATATACAAAATATAGGGTTAAAATGATGAAAATTGAATACAGTCTATTGTCTGTACACATTTTTTTTTTGGTTTCAATATTACTGGAGCTATAAAACTGTCATCATTGGAAGATGCTGGACACTTTGCACTCTTTCCATAATTTCCCATGGGGTGATAATGACTTCAAAATAAAAATATTTTTTAATCTTAATAGAACTAAACCACTTAAATATTTAGAAATGTATTTAATAAAGTAAGTGAAAGACCTATAAATGGAAAACCACAAAATTATTTTGATGGAAAATATAGAGAACTAAATTTTATTGGGGAAATACATCATGACCATAGATCAGAAGACTCCATATTTAAAAATGTTAATTCTCCCAAAATTAGTCTACATATTCAAAGTAATCACAATTATAATCCCAGCAGAATTTTCTTATAAAATTCTTGACAAGCTGAATCTATGATTTACATGGAAATGCAGACCTGAACAAAAAACACAAACTATAAGAAAATTGTTTACAAAATTTGTATCTCACAAAAGACTTAAATTTCATATATATAATATATATTTAAACAAGTGGATGACAATAATAAAATGACAAACAAGTCCATGCTTTAAATCAGCAAAAGTGAGATATAAAAACCGGCAAACAAACAAACAAAAACTAAGAAAATAGACATCATTTTTCATCAAGAAAATTTAAATTAAAACCACAGTAAAAATGTCACGTCAAAACTGCAAGTTTAACCAAATGTTAAAACTCCAACAACACCAAATGTTGGCAAGTAGGAACAGCAATTAGAACTCTTAAAGACTTGTGGTGGAACAGTAAAATTACATGAGCAGAATGGAAGAAAAAAAATGATGCTGTGTTTAAAATTAAAAGCTACCCTATGGCATTGAAATTCTACACCTAGTTCTATTCAGAGATTCAACTTCTTCCTGGATTAGACTTGGGAGGGTGTATGTGTTGAGAAATTTATCCATTTCTTCTAGAATTTTTAGTTTATTTGCGTAGAGGTGTTTATAGTATTCTCTGATGGTAGTTTGTATTTCTGTGGGATCGGTGGTGATATCCCCTTTATCACTTTTTATTGCGTCTATTTGATTCTTCTCTCTTTTCTTCTTTATTAGTCTTGCTAGCAGTCTATCAATTTTGTTGATCTTCTCAAAAAACCAGCCCCTGGATTCATTGACTTTTGAAGGGTTTTGGAAGAAGTTGAATCTCTGAACAGACCAATAACAGGTTCTAAAATTGAGGCAATAATTAATAGCTTACCAATCAAAAAAAGTCCAGGACCAGATGGATTCAGAGCCGAATTCTACCAGAGGTACAAGGAGGAACTGGTACCATTCCTTCTGAAACTATTCCAATCAATAGAAAAAGAGGGAATCCTCCCTAACTCATTTTATGAGGCCAGCATTATCCTGATACCAAAGCCTGGCATAGACACACACACAAAAAGAGAATTTTAGACCAATATCCCTGATGAACATCGATGCAAAAATCCTCAATAAAATACTGGCAAACCGAATCCAGCAGCACATCAAAAAGCTCATCCACCATGATCAAGTGGGCTTCATCCCTAGGATGCAAGGCTGGTTCAACATACACAAATCAATAAATGTAATTCAGCATATAAACAGAACCAACGACAAAAACCACATGATTATCTCAATAGAGGCAGGAAAGGCTTTTGACAAAATTCAACAACACTTCATGCTAAAAACTCTCAATAAATTAGGTATTGATGGGATGTATCTCAAAATAATAAGAGCTATCTATGACAAACCCACAGCCAATATCATACTGAATGGGCAAAAACTGGAAGCATTCCCTTTGAAAACTGGCACAACACAGGGATGCCCTCTCTCACCTCTCCTATTCAAAATAGTGTTTGAAGTTCTGGCCAGGGCAATAAGGCAGGAGAAGGAAATAAAGGGTATTCAATTAGGAAAAGAGGAAGTCAAATTGTCCCTGTTTGCAGATGACATGATTGTATATCTAGAAAACCCCATTGTCTCAGCCCAAAATCTCCTTAAGCTGATAAACAACTTCAGCAAAGTCTCGGGATACAAAAATCAATGTGTAAAAATCACAGGTATTCTTATACACCAATAACAGGCAAACAAAGAGCCAAATCATGAGTGAACTGCCATTCACAATTGCTTCAAACAGAATAAAATACCTAGGAATCCAACTTACAAGGGATGTGAAGGACCTCTTCAAGGAGAACTGCAAACCACTCCTCAATGAAATAAAAGAGGAAACAAATAAATGGAAGAACATTCCATGCTCATGGGTAGGAAGAATCAATACCATGAAAATGGCCATGCTGCCCAAGGTAATTTATAGATGCAATGCCATCCCCATCAAGCTACCAATGACTTTCTTCACAAAATTGGAAAAAACTACTTTAAAGTTCATATGGAACCAAAAAAGAGTCTGCATTGCCAAGTCAATCCTAAGCTAAAAGAACAAAGATGGAGGCATCATGCTACCTGACTTCAAACTATACTACAAGGCTACAGTAACCAAAACAGCACGGTACTGGTACCAAAACAGAGATATAGACCAATGGAACAGAACAGAGCCCTCAGAAATAATGCTGCATATCAACCACCATCTGATCTTTGAGAGACCTGAGAAAAACAAGAAATGGGGAAAGGATTCCCTATTTAATAAATGGTGCTGGGAAAACTGGCTAGCCATAAGTAGAAAGCTGAAACTGGATCCCTTCCTTACACCTTATACAAAAATTAATTCAAGATGGATAAAAGACTTAAATGTTATACCTAAAACCATAAAAACCCTAGAAGAGAACCTAGCCAATATCATTCAGGACATAGGCATGGGCAAGGACTTCATGTCTAAAACACCAAAAGCAATGGCAACAAAAGACAAAATTGACAAATGGGATCTAATTAAACTAAAGAGCTTCTGCACAGCAAAAGAAACCACCATGAGAGTGAACAGGCAACCTACAGAATGGGAGAAAATTGTTGCAATCTACTCATCTGACAAAGGGCTAATATCCAGAATCTACAATGAACTCAAACAAATGTACAAGAAGAAAACATCCCCATCAAAAAGTGGGCGAAGGATATGAACAGACACTTCTCAAAAGAAGACATTTATGCAGCCAAAAGACACATGAAAAACTGCTCATCATCACTGGCCATCAGAGAAATGCAAACAAAACCACAATGAGATACCATCTCACACCAGTTAGAATGGCGATCATTAAAAAGTCAGGAAACAACAGGTGCTGGAGAGGATATGGAGAAATAGGAACACTTTTACACTGTTGGTGGGACTGTAAACTAGTTCAACCATTGTGGAAGACAGTGTGGCGATTCCTCAGGGATCTAGAACTAGAAATATCATTTGACCCAGCCATCCCATTACTGGGTATATACCCAAAGGATTATAAATCATGCTGCTATAAAGACACATGCACACGTATGTTTATTGTGGCACTGTTCACAATAGCAAAGACTTTGAACCAACCCAAATGTCCAACAATGATAGACTGGATTAAGAAAATGTGTCACATATACACCATGGAATACTATGCAGCCATAAAAAATGATGAGTTCATGTCCTTTGTAGGGACATGGATGAAGCTGGAAACCATCATTCTCAGCAAACTATCACAAGGACAAAAAAAACAAACACTTCATGTTCTCACTCATAGGTGGGAATTGAACAATGAGAACACATGGACACAGGGTGGGGAACATCACACACTGGGGCCTGTTGTGGGGTGGGGGGAGGAGGGAGGGATAGCATCAGGAGATATACCTAAAGTTAAATGAAGAGTTAATGGGTGCAGCACACCAACATGGCACATGTATACATATGTAACAAATCTGCAAGTTGTGCACATTACCCTAAAACTTAAAGTATAATAAAACAAAATTCTACACCTAGGTAGTTTTCTAAGAGAAATGAAAATCCATGTCCTCTAAAAATATCTTCAAAGATATTCATAATAGCTATATTTATAATATAAGCACTAGAAACTCCTTCAACATTCCTCATCAAGAATAGTGAAAAGATGGTTATATTTTTATTTAATGGTAAAAAAGATCAAATTTGCCAAAAAATGGAACACCATGCATGAATCTAGCAGAAATTATGCTGAAAGAGTCCAAGCACACGTGAAAAGAAGACATATTATGCAATGCTCTTTGTACAAAGTTCTAGAAGAAGCAAACTAACATATAGTTTTAAAGAAATTAGAAAGTGTTTGCCTTGGGTATGGGTATGTTAACTGGAAGAGAAGAGGAGGAATTTCTGAGACTGTGTTTGTTCTACATTTTGATAAAGGCTGGTTACATAAGCATACACATTTGTCAACACTCCTCCAATTGAACACATAAAATTTGTGCATTTCACTGAAAATATACTTAAGTTAAATGTCACTGTAAAATATTGAAATTTAATTGTTTTCAATTTAGCTGTGCTGTCAGCGATTCTGAAGCTATCTATCTATAGAAAGAGAGAGTGTGTGTGTGAGAGAGAGAATGAATAATGAATAATGAATAATTGGAGACAGATCTCTTACTGTTAGAGAAGTGAGTTACAAATATGGAAAGGAATACCACATGTATTATACCACAAAGGAATACCAATGTACCACAACACTTAGAATTGGGGGTATCATGGTGAACTCATAGATTTTAATAAAGACAGATATAGAAATATATAGGTAAAGGTTGAGAAATAGGCATAGTTATTTACAAGTTCTGTCCACTTTGTGGGTTTAGAGAAATAACACACCAGAAGAAACATGTTTAAGTTTGTATGCAACATTCTGGAAAGTCATTTCTAATGAAGTGATATATTTGTATAAAGCCCTGAAGAAAGCTAAGGAATTAGTCAAGCATTAATTCAGAGGAAGGGCATGCTATGTCCAAGGAAAAAGTTGTATGAAATGCCTGACATGTTAAAAAATTTAGAAAGAAGATAAATGTGAAGGGAATATAGTTGATAATTTCAAAATTTTAATACAGTGCAAAATATTATAAGCTCTTGCAAGTCTTTGTGAGGACAATTCGCTGTTGTACAGATTAACACATTGGAAGGATACATCTTATAAATAGACTGTAGAAAGGCAATAGAATAATATCTGTCAATGATGATGATGACTTGGTACAAGATGATAACTAAAGGTGAGGTAAAAAGTGGTAGGGTTTTAGATATATTTAGATTTTAGATTCCAGAAATTTAGATGCATGGATTTTTAGATGTATACACTAAGTATACAGATTTAGATGTTAAATATGTAGATCTAGGTAGATCTCTCACAAGATTTCTTCATGGATTGGGGATTAAATTTGAAATAATCAGAAGAGCCAATAAACATTATATATCAGTTGTATTTTACTTCTATTGGAAGATCTTCAGGAGAAGCAAGTTTTAGGAGAAGTAGAGCACCTCATTTTAGACACATAAAGATCTATTAGATATTAAGAGATGTCAGATAAGCTGCTAGAAATGTGTCTGAATTTGAGGAGAGTATTTCAAACTTGAGAAATATATTTGGGAGGCATCAGTGTGAGGTGAAATCTTGAGCTATGAGCTTGAATACAGCTATCAGGAAAGTGGAAGTAGGACAGCTTGATTAGGAATTCAAGTCTGATTCTCCGGGTACTCCAGAGTTTAAAGTTTGAGAGATAAAGAACTTTTAAAGGAGAATGAAAAGCACTAGATGGAGGGCTAGTAGTAGAAAAAAAGTCAGATGGTGTCCTAAAATCAAGAAGACACTTTCAAGCTAGAGGGAGTAATCCTTTCTGTCGAAGACTGCTAATAGTAAAACAAAAAAAAATGTGAAGACTAAGTTTTTATGGTTGTAGAGTATCCCTGATCCTAATAAAAACAATTCGTCGAGTGGCAAGGTCAAAAGCTTAATTAGAGGGCCTAGTGGAAATGATACACAAGGGGAAGAATGCCTGATTTTGAAAGGAGTAAATTTATTCAAAAACACAAGATTTTTGTTTGAAAACAGGTAAGATCAAGATGAAAGAAGCTGGTGCTAATGAGAAAGATGAAGTATGGAAAAAGACTTACAAAGGCACGAAGGAGAAAGAAAAATTGCCGGGGCAATGTCTTTGAACATTCAAGTTAAAATGGGGCTGGTATTGGGGAAATAGAATTAAAAACAAAATCTTCACCCAACTCTGAACACCTCTTCACAAAAGCAGAAGAGAAATAAAATAATTTTATTATTGAATAACCTTCATCTAGAAAGAAATTCTACCCTTTCATATAGTCACACAGAGACAACCCATTGACATACAATTTCTCAGGATAAACAATAGCTAGTCCTCAAGTAAGAGAAATTGAAAGCAGCATTTATCACACTAAATTCATCCTAGATTCACCTGGCAATTGGTTTGGCCATCTGTGTTTGCTAATTGGCTTTATCCAAACTAAAAATAAACTTGTATTGTTATTACAGGAGGTACTTTCAGAACTTGAAGTTAGGATCTTACCTTCCCACAGACCCTTTAAGACTGGGGTGCTCTATTCCTTAATGATTATATTTCAAATAGATAGCTCCAGGATCTTGAGAAAGACATTTCTGTGTCTTAAAGCTGGAAAGCAGCTTATTTAGCATTTAAAAAGATTTACATACATTTTAAAAATACAGAGAAAGAACTTACAGGTGCCCTAAAGGAAATGGTCTAAAAAAAGGGAGGCAAAGCATCTTCTCTTATTTTCAAAGGGGAGAATTAAGCCTTTTATTTTAAATTTGTATTTGCCCTTTTAATACACAAGCAGAGATGCAAATCTTATTTAGAAGCACAATTTTCTTATAGAAATATAGTGTAATGTGAAGGCAGATAAGAGGTCCGCAATCCTTTATCCAAGACCTTTGCAGCTAGATGTATTATGAAATAAGAACGTATTTGGATCATAGGTAGGTAAAGCTGTGATGTATACTTTATATATTAAGTAAAACCACAATGAGGTTTTAAGTAACATGCTGTAATCAAAATATTAATAGGTCTGTGGGGAATATATGAATATTCCTACTAATTAGGATAAAAATAGCTATACATCAGTTTCAGTTAGGTTTTCTTGCCAATGAATTTAGGTCTGGTCAGGGCAAGTTTTATAACCAAATGAGTTATAAAATCTTCTCATTTTCACAGCCTTTTGAAATTTTGCTTGTTAAATAGAAGATTCGGAATTTTTGTGGGAGTGGGATAGTTAACAAATGAATTAACTATAATATGATTCATGAAAAATGGTCAAGGACCAATATGATGCCCTATAAATTTCAAAGAATAATCAGCACAACTGCATGTTTCTCTCCAGTCATGTTCATTTGTGTGTTAATGTTTCAGAGAAAGTAGAATGTTGGACTGAATTGGATCTGTTTCTTTCCAGGCAAATCGAGAAAATGGGCAAAATATTTGAGTATAAATATGAGTAAATGATTATAATGATAAGATCTGACTCCAAGTTAGGTAAGGAGAGAAATGAGGTTGTGAGCAATGGTACACTAAAGTGGGTAGGTGAGATGAGTAGAACTAAAATACTTGCGCGGCTTAATGGTTATAAGACGATGGTTTTTACAGGCACGGAGATGGAAAAACAACAGGTGATGAGCAAAGAATGAGATTCACACTTGAGTTTACAAAGGGGTTTCAGGTGGTAATAAGCAGATCAGTAGTATACCCATGAGAACTAGTGACCAAGTCAAGGTGAAGGACAAAGTCATCTGAGGAGAAAAGCTTAGGTTATGAGAAAGAGCACCTAAATAGAAATTGAAATGGCAGTAATAATAATAGGAGTAGGTCTGGAGATGGGAACAGTAAGTAAAAAACCAAAGTATTCAGAGAATAAGGGGAATGACCCTCTGCAGATAAGTGTAACCACCAACTTCATGTTAACTACATTTAACATATTAAATACATATTAAATAACATATTAAATACATTTTTTTGCTTTTCTTCTATTTTCTTTCTAGGAAACTAAGATAGTTTTATGTTTTTATATGGGTATATTAGAAGTATAATTTTCACTGAAGAATTAATTTCTCTTGGTAAGTTATTGTTTCATTAACATTATTAAATCATAATATAATGTTTGAAATCACTAAAACTCATATATCAAATAAAAACTTAAGAAATTTTTAAATTAAAATTCAACCTACTTTCATGCACACATTCGAATCTACTTTTTAAATATTCAAAATGATGCAAATTATGCAGCATGCATAATTTATTAATCTAGCATTTTCCAGCCTCTTTAAGAATAAATACCAAAAATAAATTTGCCTTTCAGAGTTTTAAGTCAGTAAATATAGACCATGACCAATACAGTTTAATAAGCAGGTTTAAGTAAATCAAATTTAGGCATGGAAATTGTCAAGGTAGTGTTACAGTAGGTAGCTAGTCAGACTTGAGCAGGACAAGAGAAGGCCCCCAGCACAATCAGGAATGTCAGGCAACCATCAAGTGATGGTTAGGCAGTTGGTAACTTTCTCTCTAAAACATTAATTTGTCACAGTCAGTGCCAGGGAAAGACAGTCTCCCAATAGATAGATAGAAACACCTGAAACTGGTGATCAGTAGCCTCCCAATAAAATCTCAAGAGTTACGTGAGTGGAATCACTCATGTGCACTAAGAGGCAAAATGGCAGAATTTAACTTGTATATGACCTTCTAGAAACATTTGGACTGGTAAGGGAAGAACATCTCAAGTGACGATATGTACAACTCCAGTAAACAAACTATACATGCGGCCCCTCCCAAGTGCTGGCAGGCCACTGCAAATGCAAACAGCCCACCCAAAGGGAGGATCGGGGTGAAGCAATGCAACCCCAGAAGCATGCCAATGTGTAAGACCCCAAGTCAAAGGTCAAACTGACCACTTGATCTCTCAAGTCACCTACTTTGTCCTCTTCCAAGTGTACTTTACTTCCTTTAATTCCTGGTCTGAAGCTTTTTAATAAATGTTTACTCCTGCTCTAAAACTTGACATGATCTTTCCTTGTGTCTTATGTCCCGCAGTCAAATTCTTTCTTGTGAGAAGGCAATAACTGAAGTTGCTACAGACCTATATGGATTTGCCACAGTAACATCCTTTGGTGCTGTGTAACTCAGATACATTCCCCAGTGGTAAGTCTCCTCTATGCCTCTTCTTCAGCTGGAGGAGTTCAACCCCTGTATGTGTTTTTCTTCTCCCCTTTCACTCTCCTGACCCTAGAACAATTTATCTCAGCCAAGGAAGCTCTGCTCCTTCTGGCTGATCTCTCAGCTCATCCTGATGGGTGTTTCTTAGGGGTGGGAAAGAACTTGGAGTCCACATTGAGCAGGACGGAGACACTAATCATCCTCCTGCACAAGAGGCTCGCAAGAATGGTAGGGCTAATGTCTAACATTGTGCAATGTCCAGTTTTTCCTCCATTTTTTAACTAAAATTGGCTCTTTCCCAAAACCTCACACTGCTTATTCTCGTGTTTTCTCTGTGTGTATCCTGAAATGGCCTTATGCACCCACCAGACTGTCCACCTTGGATGTGAGTCTGCCTCTTTGCTTTTGCTTTGCATGACATGTGACTTTGTAAACTCACAATCCCTGTTATTTTTGTACACACAGCTCTTGTGTTTGTGCAGCAGCAAAGACAAAGCTTCCCTTAAAATATCCACTGAGATTTATACTTATTTTTACCCTACAGGCTCAGATGACCTTCAACACTTCCCCTGTCTGCTGGCACATTGCTGGGACTGACACTAATTGGAACCCCAGCTCTGCCAGCTTCTTATGACTTACCATATGCTTTTCATTACTTTTACACCCAAGGGCCAAGTTTGTCTTGGCTTTTGAAGCATTTGTCCACCTGCATAGAGCCTCACTCTCTGGCCATTTAAGGATCTCATCAACTTACTTTTTTTTTTTTTGAGTTATTAAAGCACCCCTTTGAGAGGAAGTGAAATTCCTCTTTTGCAATTTACGAGTTCTCACCCTAAGCTCTTAGTCCTCCTGAGGTTACTAGTTTATGTCAAGAGCAAATAAATGTTTGCCTCTCTAATTCAAGGGATGTTTTTCTTACAAGGATATGAAGGCTTCCATGAGTATTTCTCTTGATTTCTCCCACTTCCCCCTGTAGCTTCATTTCTCTAACTACTTCCATGGCCTTCCCAACATGCATCAAGACCTTGAAGGTTACATTTGAAGGGACAGAAGTCCCAGAGCCTTGTGGCAGTTAGCTGAAAAATAGGTTTCTTGTCTACTGAAAGAACGTGGGAAATGGGAATATGAAAGAAGAGATAATCATTTTATTGCTACTATGCTCTGAGCAAGAGTCACTATAAAGTCATGGAGACAAGCATATAGGCCAGCCCAAAGCGACAGGAGCAAGAGACTCATAGGACAGAGATGGAGGTTTCTCCCAGGCTAACAGATTACCATATTAGAATAGAGATAAAGGCAAGGTTATAGATACATAGTAAGACTGGTTCATTCTAGAACCTTAAGGGTGAATGGAGTATGCCCTATTCAGGATAATAGGAAAGTAAAAAGGCATACTTTCTTGGTTTGTTTTTCCTTTTTTTTTCCCTCTCTTCTCTCCTCACAGATGCATAATTTTGCCTCCACAACACAGGACAAGCTCCTCGGATCCATCTCCCAAAACTGGGAAAAGTATGATTGCCTCACACCTTAAAACAAACAAACAAAAAACTAGTTTTCCTTTGTAATATTATTCAGCGTAGAAATGAACGGGGAGGAATTTACAAAAGTCAGTCTTGGAACTCAGTGCCCCTGTGCAGGAAATCCTTAAATTAGCTGCCTCAGTCTTTTATAACCAAGATCAGGACAAGGAACACAGAGCTAAAGAAAAGGAGAAATGCAGAAAGAAGAGGCAGGTTTGATTACTGGCTGCTCTGTCAGCCCACCAGCCCTGTCCAGGTATGTCTAGGGACACTCCTGCAGGTAACTGTAAGGCAAATTGCCCCAGTGAGATAAATGGGAAAAAGTCCTGCATATCTCATCCTCTCTGCCAGAAGCTCAGCCACTGGAAACAGGACTTCCCTGAGGGCCAAAGGGCCCATGGGACAGATTCCCAATCCCTGATGGTCTTGAGCTGAAGGGCGGTCTGCTATGGCTGGCTTCTAAATTGGACATAATTATCAACAGAACAAAGCCAAGGAGAACTCTGGAGGCAGCAAGTAAAATTATAAATTCCCCTTTTGGTTTCAAGAGCCGCCTACTCTGTGCTAATCTTCTCTAAGCAACTGCCTCCAAATCCTATTATGTAACAGAGGCAAATGGTAGCCCCTCCCATCAAAAGAAAAAATTCACACCCCTTTGGGGCAAAAATATGCTTTCCAAGAGAGGTGCCTGCTTAATATTTACCCAAGGTCTAAATACATATTTTCCTATAATAACCGTGTTTCCCCTGGGAAAGCTGCCTAAATCTTTAGCCAATAACCTGGACAGTCCTACTTCAGGGGTTTAGAAATAGCTCACACTTATTTGACAAATCCTACCAAAAATCTAACCAAGCAATCTCTTGAGGGAGGATAAAGTCTACAATACATAGATGACCTCCTTATCTGGTCCCCTTTCACAGGACTCATACAGCAACATGCAGTACAAACCTTAACTTCCTAACAGAAAGAAAATTACTTTTGTCTAATTCAAAGTTTATAAAGTTAAAGAGGTATTTTTGATAAAGGAGGTTATAAAGAAATTTTATATGAGAACATATCTTTTATGGTAAATTCTTGCCCTAAAGTAAAATGACTGGTTATTTAGAAAGATGGATGTTTAGGACAATTCAGAAAGTCCAGGCATGTTGTAGACAGTCTTTGTAAGTCGTGACTAGATTTGTGAAAGATAATTTATTAAAATTGTACAGTTTTAAAGGCTATTAGGTCTAATAAATGCTTTAAGGTTATAAAATATTATAAACTTCTCTTGACTGTACAACTTGCCTGCTTTAAACCTAGGTAAGGTGGGGACATGCAGAGACAGCAATGCCCCTTAGTTATGTTGGAAAGAGTCAGACCTTATCTGCACTTCTGTCTGGTGTACTACGCTCCACATCTAGTACATAATTAGGATCACTTATTCAACAGATTTTCACCAAAAGTAAATGTAGCTAAGAGTCAACAGAGTAACATGTATTAGACACTACTGGAAAAATAGTTTTACATACAAGGCATGTAAGGCAAGTAAAATGTAATTTTGGTCAAAGATTATAAGAAGGCATGGAAATGTGAAATATTTTGCCTAATTTAGATGGTTAAAAGATTGTTTTAATTTAGATAGGATAAAGTTAAAGATTTAACCAAGTTGTGGGAGTTATGTGAAGATGAATTTGTGAAAGAAACTCTGTGTGTTATGTAATCATATTGGCTAAAGTTAAAGGGGTATTATTTATTCATAAACTGAACATCAAAATAAAAGTACAACATAGTTTTCTTAGAGCATTGTTCTGCTCTTTAAGAGAAAATTGTAAAGGGTTGTAAAAGGTATATGAGAATCTCACCTTATGGTCAAACTGATTAAGATGGAATAGGTTTGTCTATGAGATTTTATTAAGAACTGGATTTGACATCAATATTACACAAATGCAAAGATAAAAATCAGGCCTTCTTTGGGCTGTATTTGCATAAATGTGTTATCAGCATGTGTTCCAAAATTAGGCAACAATGCTATAATTCTGATATGTATTAGTATATGTTGTCAGTAATCATTATAACTGTTTAATTATTGTTTGTAACAGAGGTAACAAATTTTCTTGTCAATTGTGTCTTTGATTGTGGCTGCCTTAAAATGTTTCAGCATCCACAGACAATTGTCATCATATTTTAGTCCCCTTTAAAAAATAATTTTATGATCAGCTGTATGACTCTAACAGATGCTCTTATATGCAGGTTTCTAATAACTTTGCTTGTTGTGGCATTAGAATAGAGGAAAAAACTTTCAGGAGACTCATGGAGAGCTGAATTGTTCATGAATATCTAGCAGAACAGGAGTTAACTGCATGTACTGAACTAATAAAAGACAAAAATAATCCTTTCATGACTGTTTGGTTGAAACATTGCTGATCTTACATTTGTTTTTCAAAGCCAAGAAAACTTTTCTTTTGAGCTATTTAGAGCATTTAGCAATTAAGTAAAGTATACTCATAAACAAAATTTGCAGCATATTTCTCTCTACTCTCTCCAAAATTTGGAAACTAATTGTGAGTATTCTTTACTTAGGGCAATATAGTTATTTGCATAGTACAATAATAAGCACACCTTTGCAACAGGACACAATGGGAAAAACTGTTTATTTTACCAAGACTTCAACTGGAATTGTGTGCTTGCCTTTAAGAAATAAAATGTTACTTATCAAGGTAATAAAAGCCCCTTGGATACACAATCCCTGTGCAGGGTTTCATACCTATGGTTAGTAAAGAATTTCAGTTTCTGAGAGTCTCAGGAGCTCCAAGTCATCTTGGGACCTCAGGAGAGAGGAATTTATGGAAATCATACAAATATTCAGTGGCACAAACCTATGGCTGGGCTCAAGGCTTTAAAATAGTCACATCTAAGATTTCCAATGGAACAAAGTTCCATCAATACCAATTTAAAAAGGAGCCTATATGGCAAATAATTATTCTTGCTGAGCTTTAAGCAAATAATCAGACAAAGTATAATAAGACTAAAGATTATTTAAATAAATCAGTCTTACCATAATTTGTTTTTAATAAAAATGACGACTGGAGAGAGAAAAAACATGTTTCAAAAACTATGGTTCACCTGTTATTAGATTCTAGCATCATCAATTGTTTTTGAGTTTTTGTCTGAAATTTAGACTAACCCTGCTTATTCCTGTGAACCAGTCAATTATTTCTGGCTGCAGTTTATATGAGGAATGGACCATCAAGCTTCAGATAATCTTTAGTGAGGGATACTGTTTTACCAATATTTAAGAGTCATCCTTCTACAGGGGATGTTGCGGGAAGTCTGGGACCCCAAAAGGAGGGGCTGGCTGGAGCTGTGCCAGAAGAACATAAATTGTGAAGATTTCATGGACATTTATCAGTTCCCAAATAATACTTTCATAATTTCTTATGCCTGTCTTTCTTTTAATCTCTTAATCCCGTTATCTTTGTAAGCTGAGGATGTAGGTCACCTCAGTACCACTGTGATGATTGTGTTAACTGTACAAATTGATTGTAAAATGTACTTTTGGTCAAAGATCATATTGTGTGTTTGAACAATATGAAATCAGTACACCTTGAAAATGAACAGAATTACAGCGATTTTAGGGAACAATGGAAGACAACCATAAGGTCTGACTGCCTGTGGGGTCAGGCAAAAAGAGTCATATTTTTTTTCTTGCATAGAGCCAATAAACAGATGTGCAAGTAGGGAAGACATCACTAAATTATTTTCCTAGCAAGGAATATTGATATTAATGCTCTGGGAAGAGAATTGCATTCCTGGGGGAGGTCTATAAATGGCCGCTCTGGGGATGTCTGTCCTATACGTTTGAGATAAGGACTGAGATACACCCTGGTCTCCTGCAGTACCCTCAGGCTTACTAGGATTGGGAAACTCCAGCCTGGTACATTTTTGGTTAGACCATTTCTCTGCTCTTGAACCCTGTTTTCTGTTAAGATGTTTATCAAACAATACATGCACCACTGAATATAGACCCTTATCAGGAGTTTCTGATTTTGCCCTTGCCCTGTTTCCTCAGAAGCATATGATCTTTGCTTTGCTTTTTCCCATTGAAGCATGTGACCTACTTCCTGTTTGTACATCCCCTCCCCTTTTGAAATCCTTAATAAAAACTTGCTGGTTTTGCAGCTCTGGTGGGCATCATGGTCCTACCGATATGTGATGTCACCCCCAGCGGCCCAGCTGTAAAAGTCCTCTCTTTGTACTCTTTCTCTTTATTTCTCAGACTGGCCAACACTTATGGAAAATAGAAAGAATCTACATTGAAATATTCGGGGTGGGGTTCCCTCGATAAGAAGACTCCTAGACTGCCCATCAGTAGGACACAACAAAGGCAAAATCCTTCAACTATCTCCCTTGGACATGTCTAGATACTGTTTTCACCAAAACACAGAGCCAACACTGCCCTGATAGCTCGCAAGTGGCCCAGATCCACAAACCCACCACCACAACCTCACTCACAGCAGGAAGCACTTACATATGACTCACCTTCATCCATTTTCTCCAAAGAATTGGGGCCTTGGACTTTTAAGGTGGGAAATGTAACAGTAGGCAGCTAGTCAGACGTGAGCCAGGCAGGAGATCCCCTCCACCCCAGGAATGTCAGGTGACCCTCATGTTATGGTCAGGCCATTGCTAAGCTGTCTCTTTAATATAATAATTGGCTGCATCCAGAACCAGGGAAATATACTCTCCTAATAGGTAGAAACACCTAAAGCTGATGATCATAGCTTCCCAAAAAAACCTAAAAGTTGGTAGAGTGAGATCATGCATGTGCACTGTATTAGTCCATTCTCACACTGCTATAAAGAACTACCTGAGACTGGGTAATTTATAAAAGAGGCTTAGTTGACTCACAGCTCTGCAGTATTAACAGAAATCATGACTGGAAGGCCTCAGGAAACTTACAATCATGGCAGAAGGTAAAGGGGAAACAAGCCCATCTTATCATGGTAAAGAATGAGAGAGAGAGGAAAGAGGGAGGTGCCACACACTTTCAAGCAATCACATCTTATGAGAACTCACTCACTATCAAGAGAACAGCAAGGGAGGAATCTATCCCATGATCCAATCACCTCCTACCAGGCCCCTCCTCCAATTTAACATGAGATTTGCACATGGACATAAATCTTAACCATATTCTTATACCCCAAGCCCCTCCCAAATTTCATGTTCTTCTCACATTGCAAAATACAATTATTCCTTCTCAATAGTACCCTAGTCTTAACTCATTACAGTAATAACTCAAAAGTCCACAGTTCAAAGTCTCATCTGAGACAAGTAAGTCCCTTCTGCCTATGAGCCTGTAAAATAAAAAACAAATTAGTTACTTCCAAATTACAATGAGGATATAGGCATTTAGTAAATGCTCCCCCTTCCAAATGGAAGAAATTGGCCAAAATTAAAGGGCTACAGGACACATGCAAGCTCAAAACCCAGCAGGGCACTCATTAAATCTTAAAACTCCAAAATAATCTCCTTGGACTTCATATCTCACAACCAGAGCATGCTGATACAAGAGCTGGGCTCCCAAGGCCCTGGGCAGCTCCATCCCTTTGGCTCTGCAGGGAACAGCCCCCATGGCTGCTTTCAAGAGCTGATGTTAAGTGCCTTCCAGCTTTAAGCTGTGCCTGGAAAACTGGCAGGCACTCAACACCAAAGCTGCTGAGTATATCTTTAAAACCTCTCAGTGTATCTATAATTCTGGGGTCAGGAAGACAGTGGCCCTCTTCTCACAGCTCCATTAGGTAGTGCCTCAGTGAGAACTCTGTGTGGGGGCTCAAACCCCACATTTCCCTTATGCACTGCCCTAGTAGAGTTTCTGCATGAGGACCCCACCCCTGCAGCAGACTTCTGCCTTGACATCCAAGTATTTTCATGCATCCTCGGAAATCTAACCAGAGGTTCCCAAACCTCAATTCTTGCCTTCTGTCCACCAGCAGGCCCAAAATCACAGTGAAGCTGCAAAGGCTTGGGGCTTTTACCCTCTGAAACAATGGCCTGAGCTGTACCTTGGCCTCTTTTACCCGTGACTGGAGCTGGAGAGGCTGGGATACAGGATACCCTGTTCTGAATTTGCACAGAGCAGCAGTTATCTGGGCCTGGCCCATAAAACCATTTTTTTCCTGCTAGACCTCTGGGACTGTGATGGGAGGGGTTGCTGTGAAGATCTCTGTAATGCCCTGGAGATATTTTTTTCCATTGTCTTGGTGATTAACATTTGGTTCCTTGTTACATAGGCAAATTTCTGCAGCTGGCTTGAATTTCTTTCTGGAAAATGACTTTTTCTTTTCTACTGCATTGTCAGGCTACAAATTTTTCAAACTTTTATGCTGTGCTTCACTTTTATATATAAGTTCCAATTTTAGACCATCTCTTTCTTCATGCATATGAGCATACACTTTCAGAAACATCCAGGTAACTTCTCAAATGCTTTGCTGCTTTTGCCAGATACCCTAAATCATCTCTTTCCAGTACAACATTCCACAGATTTCTAGGACAGGGTAAAAAAGGCTGCCAGTCTGTTTGCTAAAGAAGAGCAAGAGTGACCTTTCCTTGAGTTCCCAACAAGTTCATCATCCCTATCAGAGACCACCTCAGCCTGGACTACATGGTTCATGTCACTATCAACATTTTGGTAAAAGCCATTCAACAAGTCTCTAGAAAGTTGCAAACTTTCCCACATCTTTCTATCTTTTTCTGAGGCCTTTAAACTGTATTTTAATTTTAATTTTCTGTGTTAGCCTGTTCTCAGACTGCTATAAAGAACTACCTGATATTGGGTAATTTATAAACAAAAGAAGTTTAATTGACTCACAGTTCTTCAAGCACAAAAGGAAGCATGACTGGGAAGCCTCAGGAAACTTACAATCATGGCAGAAGGCGAAGGGGAAGCAAACACATCTTACCATGGTAGAGCAGGTGAGAGAGAGAAGGAAGGGTGATGTGCCACACTGTTTTAAATGATCAGATCTTCTGAGAACTCACTCACTGTCATTAAAACAGCAAGGATGAAATTTGCCCCAATGATCCAATCACCCCCTACCAGGAACCTCCTTCAATTTGACATGAGATTTGGTCCGGGGCACAAATCCAAGCCATGCCATACACTAAGAGGCAATATGGCAGAGTTAAACTGGTATATAACCTTCTAGAAATATTCAGAATGGTAAGGGAAAAACACGTTAAATGATTATGTGTACAACTATAGTAAACACACTGCACATGAGTCCCCATCAAAGTGCTGGCAGGCCAGTGTGTATGTGGACAACCCATTCCTAGAGAAAAACCAAGGGAGAAGGTATGCAACACCAGAAGCATGCCAATGTGTAAGACCTAAGTCAAAAATAAAATGCTCTACTCGATCTCTGAAGTTGCCCTTTTGGCCCTCTTCCAAGTGTTCTTTCCAACTGTATGTCTTTTCATTCCTGCTCTAAATCGTTTTAATAAATGTTCACTTCTGCTCTAAAACTTCCCTCAGTCTCTCCTCCTGCCCTTCTCCCCACAGTCAAATTCTTTCTTCTGGGGAGGCAAGAATTGAGATTACTACAGACCCACATGAATTCACAACGGCAGGTGGCAAATGTTTCATTTAGTATGTGTTATAGACTTAATGCTTTTGTCACTCTAAAATTCAAATGTTGAAGACTGACCCTCTAATATAATGGTGTTGGAAGGTAGGCCTTAGGTAGGTGATTAGGATTAGATTAGGTCATGAGGTAGAACTCATATGAATGGGATTAGTGTCTTTACAAGGGGCCATAGAGCTTCCTTCCTCTCTCTCTGTAATGTGAGGACACGGAAAAGACTACCTGCTATTAACCAGAAAGCAGGCCCTCGCCATTCAGTGAATCTGCGGGTACTTCAACCTTGGACTTCTCAGTATCCAGAAGTGAGATGTAAATGTTTGTTATTTAAGCCACCTGGTTATAGTATTTTGTTATGGCAGCCTGAATTGTCTCAGATGGTACAGACAAAAATGCTCATTGTTTATGAATTTGTGGATTTGTCTTCTGAATGGTCTTGATAAAGGTAAGGAATCAGATCAGATAATAAATTGCTTGATTTGTAATTACTTAGTCAAATAATTAAGAAATTATTTACTTCTCTTTCTTACCACAAGGATTCTTCACATGCAACATTTCAAGCTTCATATTGTCTAAAATTGTGAATTTAATAAGTTGCGTTTTCTATTACAATGCAAATCTCATCAGACATGCATGTTTGCATAAATTATGGAGCCAACCAATTTTATGCCTCTTTAATAATGCATTCTTAAATTTAGTTTCAAGTTAAGGACAGCATTTGCCTATTGATCATGATGCATTATCCACACTCTGGAAAGCACCAGGCAGTTTTGCATCTTCTCAGTTAATTCTGAATAATTCAGAAAGTTATGTGGGTTGTGTTTATTTTCATTAAGTTTTTAAATACCTACCTGAAAGATAGTGACATGTAATTAACTATACCTAGTTATGATCATGGTACTATTGTTTATCAATTTACCAACATCATGGCTTACAGGCATAACATATATATATTTTTAGTACCATCTTAGAATTATCCTGTAATAGTTATATTGTGCCTTTTATTATATGGTTTCCTACAGAACTCTTTTATGAGGATTTTTTTTCTTTACATTGGCAAACACTATAAAAATATATTCTTGGGTATGAACTCTATATAAAATATGTTATGTTAAAATAGACAAAAGAAATTTCTTTAGACAAATTTGCTTTCTGCAAATGTATTATATTGTTGTTACTGTTATTTTCAAGGCATGGAATAAAATTTTAAAATTATTTTGGCTGGGTTTTCAAATATGAAACAGTTTCAAAATGAACAGAACTGGGGAGTATTTAAGCATAATTTTATGTAAATAGTCAAGAAATGGTATTATACTTTTTTAAAGTAATGTATCAAGCTCCAGGTTATTGCCTTGGAATTAAGTAGGCAAGCAAGAATACCAACCCCAAAGGAAAGCACAGCTGACCCATTTATACAGTCAGCAGACTCATGCACAGGGTAAGAGAGGTGCTTCAATGATAGGCCAAATAAATCTCTATTTCTAATTTTCTAAATTTAAACATGCATTTAATTCAATGTGATCAAAATACATATTATATATTTTTATACAATTTGAAGCTAAGTCTCCTCCAGATAATAATTATTATACTGGAATAAACAAAAATGATTTAATGAAACATATTAAAATACAAATTTTAAAACAGTACACTAGCATTTTGTTGTGGTTTGGACATAAGCCTATCTATTACTATGTAGAAAAATCACCATTGGAAGTAAGTTTAAATTGTAAATGTGTAGCAGAAGAGAACTTTGATGAAAAACTCTTTTTAAGGTTTGTCTTTTTTTGTAATATTGTAACAGATATTTTATTCATTTTCTAAATTGCATAAAGTCAAGTGACTCATTTTTCATTTATTGCTGTTTAGCTAAAGAATCAGTTAACATACAGTATTAATAACAAAATACTTGGCCAGGCGCAGTGGCTCACGCCTGTAATCCCAGCACTTTGGGAGGCCGAGGTGGGCGGATCACTGGGTCAGGAGATCAAGACCATCCTGGCTAACACGGTGAAACCCTGTCTCTACTAAAGATACAAAAAATTAGTCGGGCGAGGTGGCGGGTGCCTGTAGTCCCAGCTACGTGAGAGGCTGAGGCAGGAGAATGGCGTGAACCCCAGGGGGTGGAGCCTGCAGTGAGCCAAGATCGCACCACTGCACTACAGCCTGGGTGAAAGAGAGACTCCTTCTCAAAAAAATACCAAAAACAAAAACAAACAAACAAACAAAAAACAAAAAAAACAGTATATTTTAATCATTTGTTTAACTCTTTAACAAGAGTTTTAAGTTATTTTAATTAAAATTGTTTGGAATTTGTTCTCTGAAAACCTAAACAAACCAAATAAACAAAGAGAAGTATCTTCAGTAAAATAAAATAAAATTGTTCCCACATGGACTAGTGGCTGGAAGAAAATAAAAATAAAATAAATGTATATGCTCTAAGTTAGAATCATTCTCACATTTCTGCACAAAACAAAGCATATCTATGTTACTGGCCTCACCTACCTCTGCTTCCAGCCTATGTATTAACTTGTCACACAATATATTGTGTGATCACAATAACGTAAAATAAACAAAAAAACTGATTGTTTTACTGAAGACCTGAAAACTAATATCTTTCAATATTGTTCTGCTAACACATTAGACTTACTTCCATGAGCTACATACAATCTCAGAGACCTGGTTTGTATTTGGTTACTTTCCTGTAATAGACTAATGTAGCCTGAAGCTTCTAGGGTGAAAATTGTTGAGAAACTTAGAACAATTCAACGTCATTTATATCCATAAATAATCATAAGATTTGAGAGGCTTTGTTTCTAATTTTAATTTTAGAAATGTCCATTTTCACAACACTGTATGCCCACAAGATTATAAAAAGCAATTAGAAAAACAGCAATAAATAAAATCTCAGAAACAACTTATACATCCTGAGAACTTTACATTTAATTCTTATTTGTGGGCGGCTTTACTAAAATGAAAATGTGGACAGGCAAAGTTATCTATCTATCTATGTTTGTGTGTGTGTATATGGAAGAAATTGAAAATAATTATTCTTTTCCTTATGGTTTCTCCATGGGGATATATTATTGTTTTTATATTGCTATGCAGCCATTTTCCATAATATGTGTGAAATATCACAACATAAAATTATTAACCTTAGGCCTCAACTGTTCAAATTGAATGTTTTATCATGTTGAGATTCAAAATATATTGAGTATTTTCAGACTAATTTTAAATATTTGGAGAAAAAATAGTTCAAAATGGTGCTTACTAAGGTATTATTTCAAGCTAGCTTTATAAAATTATGAGGGTAGTCATTTGGAAGTTCAGCACGGAACTTATTTCCTATTGAGGAACCTAATTACCAAACATTTTTGCTCACATTGTCTGAATGTTGTGATCAGAACACATTAAAAAAAAAAAAAACAAGAGATTCAGATATAAGTGAACAACAAGGTACATAAGGTGATGAAAGGTCTCCCATGAAAGCACAAGGCTACAACCATTAAGTATCATCTATGAGAGTACAATCATTTAAAAATCAATGCAAATCTTTTAAAGAGTCAGTGTTCAGTAAAACACAAATGAAACTGCCAGGAAGAATGAGAGATTCTGAATTTTGTATGAGGCAATCTATAAACTACATGGAAAATCATAGGGGGAAAAAAGACTTGAATTATTCAAATTTGTAACAATTATAGGGGTTCAATGTGTCAAAATTGTTGTTATAGGGCATTGCTGCATAATTATGGTAATAGACACACCTCTTTCAAAGTTGATAGAAAATATATAATTTAATTTAAATATTTAAAATATATGCTGATTTTCTTATTGATATTTAAGTACAAAATATTAACAATGGTAAATGTATTTAAAAAGGAAAAAAATGAGCGAATCATCTTATGCTTAGAAATTATTACTTACATGCTATATTAGGCCATTCTTGAATTGCTATAACTGAATACCTGAGATGGAATACACACACACACACACACACACACACATAAACATATATAAACATATATATAAACATATATATATATATATGTTTAATTGGCTTATGGTTCTACAAACTGTAAAGAAAGCCTAGTGGCATCTGCTCAGCTTCTGAGGAAGCCTTAGGAAATGTACAGTCATGGCTGATGACTAAGGGGGAACAGGCACATCACATGGCAAAAGCAGAAGCAGCAGGGTAAGGGGGAGGTGCTACACACATTTAAACAACCAGATCTCACAAGAACTAACTCACTCTCATGAAGACAGCATTACAGGGGATAGTGATAAACTATTTATGAGAAATCCAACCCTATGACCCAATCACCAGCCACCGGGCCCCACCTTCAACACTGGGATTACATTTCAATATGAGATTCCAGTGGGAAACACATCTGAACTATATCACATGCTCAGGGAGTACTAGATTGAACCTCATCTAATATCTAAAATATAAACTAATATTACTATCACTCTTTAACCACAAGCTATTGATTACCTTCATGTGTTAATCAATATTTAATAGATATTTATTATATGTAAAACATTCCCAAGACCAGAGGCGATGTGTGATATTGTGCAAAGTAAAATAAATACGCAGAGCTTATATAATAATGAAAATACAGCTATTTTATGAAATTACATAAATGAATACAATTTGTATAAAAGTTCAAGAAACAATTCAATTAATTGAAGTCAGTAATATCAGGAAAGTCATCATGGAAAAGGAATAATTTAAAATGGACATGGAAGAAAAGGAAAGATTTAGAAAAGGGTTTTAATAGATACACTAGCAGGATGCATCTTGTGACCCAAGGATTGTTTTTCATTTGTCTTTTCACCTTTAGTATCTAATAGTATGTTGCATACAATAGTTGTAATAAATATTTGCTGAATAAACTAATGGTAATCCTGTGTAACCTGGATCAAACTGGGAAATCCTTAAAGGAAGGGGTTAGTTGAGTCCTGTAATAATTGAAACATAAGTTTGATAATTGTTAGACCAGAAAAGGAACTATAAAAGACAGATTGTGATAGCGTCGTCTCAGTATCTTCTGACATATACTGAAAGAAATATATTTGAAAAAATTTAATCCTTCAAATTATTGAACATACACAAAGAATATTAAATTGAACAAATAAGAAACAAACATATATACATATTACTTCTATGGCATGTAATGTGTTCAAGTGTGAAGGACATACATGAGAACGAAGATATTTCTAGGCTTGAACTTGATCTAGAATGATATGGTATTTGTATGGTTAGAAGTGGAAAGGATGGAAATTTCAGGTACAGAAAAGGTAGAAACCAAGAGTAAATACATAAAAATTGTATGTCTCTAATTATGAGAGCATAAATAATGAATCTATATAGAATAAAGAGTATGAGTGAAGTGGAAAGTGACGTAGATAAATTGAACAAGATAGATAATAGAGACTAGTGAAAATTAAAATATAGCATATATTCAGTAAGAAAGAGCAACTTTCAATGTAGGATGCATTGCTTTTTGCTTGGAGAAAGATTTACTGTTGAGATTCCCAAAGGTAAAGTGACTTATCAAGAGAGGTAAGAAGAAAAGAGCTAAACCCTACATTTTATATTCTGGGAAAGAGTAAACGAACACGACTAATTAAGGAAATTGGCAGAATGAAATACCGTATTTCCTTCCCTTAATTTTTTTAAACCAGGATAGCTCTCCTTATGTCTAAAGACAGAAGGAAAGGAAACAATGAAATTGGAAAGAATGCCAAGATTTGGAAGAGGAAAAAGATATGAGTGATTTGCTATTCATAAAAATTAACATCAAATCTATGAGAAAGTGAAATAAAGTACAAAGAGAAGTTTATTTTCAAATGTTTACTAAGTGCCAATATGTCTCAGCAATCTCAAAATTTTGAAAAGTAGCTACAATTCTATTTTTCAAAGGAAAATTCAGCCTATTTTTAAGGAAGAGTTTACTAGAAGAGAAAATAACTTAATCACAAGTTGGAAAATCCAGATGATTTTCTATTTACAATGGTTCAACTTATTATTTTTCAACTTTACTTAATTTTTAAAATATTTTTATAATACTTTAAGTTCTGTGATACATGTGCAGAACATACAGGTTTGTTACATAGGTATACATGTGCCACGGTGGTTTGCTGCACCCGCCAACCTGTCAACTATATTAGGTATTTTTCCTAATGCTATCCCTCCTGTTGGACCCCACACCCTGACAGGCCCCATTTTGTGACCTTCCCCTCCCTGTGCCCATATGTTCTCATTGTTCAATTCCCACTTATGAGTGAGAACATGTGGTGTTTGGTTTTCTGTTCTTGTGTTAGTTTGCTGAGAATGATGGTTTCCAGTTTCATCCATGTCTCTTGCAAGGACATGAACTCATCCTTTGTATAGCTGCATAGTATTCCATGGTGTATATGTGCCACATTTTCTTTACCAGTTATCATCAATGGGCATTTGGGTTGGTTCCAAGACATTGCTACTGTGAATAGTGCTGCAATAAACATAGTGTGCACATCTCTTTATAGAATAATTTCTGATCCTTTGGTTATATACCCAGTAATGGAATTGCTGGGTCAAATGGTATTTCTGGTTCTAGATCCTTGGGAATCACCACAGTCTTCCACAATGATTGAACCAACTTACACTCCTACCAACAGTGTAAAAATGTTCCTATTTCTCCACATCCTCTCCAGTATCTATTCTTTCCTGATTAATGATCACCATTCTAAATGGCATGAGATGATATCTCATTGTGGTTTTGATTTGCATTCCTGTAAAGACCAGTGATAATGAGCTTTTATTCATATGTTTGTTGGCCACATAAATGTCTTCTTTTGAAAAGTGTCTGTTCATATTCTTTGCCTACTTTTTGATTAGGTTGTTTTTTGTTTCTTGTAAATTTGTTTAAGTTTCTTATAGATTCTGGATATGAGCCCTCTGTCAGATGGGTAGATTGAAAAAATTTTCTCCCATTGTCTAGGTTGCCTGTTCACTCTGATGATAGTTTCTTTCACTGTGCAGAAGCTCCTTAGTTTAATTAGATCTCATTTGTCAATTATGACTTTTGTTGCAATAGTTTTTGGTGTTTTAGTCATGAAGTCTTTGCCCATGACTATTTCTTGAAAGGTATTGCGTACGTTTTCTTCTAGGGATTTTATGGTTTTGGGTCTTATGTGTAAGTCTTTAATCCATCTTGAATTAATTTTTGTATAAGGTGTAAGGAAGGGATCCAGTTTCAGTTTTCTGCATATGGCTAGCCAGTTTTTCCAGCACCATTTATTAAATAGGGAATCCTTTACCCATTGCTTGTTTTTGTCTGGTTTGTCAAAGATCAGATGGTTGTAGATGTGTGGTGTTATTTCTGAGGCCTCTGTTCTGTTCCATTGGTCTAGATCTCTGTTTTGGTACCAGTACCATGCTGTTTTGATTACTGTAGCCTTATAGTGTAGTTTGAAGTCAGGTAGTGTAATGCATTCCAGCCTTTTTTGTTTGTTTGTTTTGGCTTGAGATTGTCTCGGCTATATGAGCTCTATTTTGTTTCCCTATGAAATTTAAAGTACTTTTTTCTAATTCTGTGAAGAAAGTCAATGGTAGCTTGATGGGAATAGCATTGAATCTATAAATTACTTTGGGCAGTATGGCCATTTTCATGATATCGATTCTTTCTACCCATGAGCATGGAATGCTTTTCCATTTTTTGTGTCCTCTGTTATTTTCTTGAGCAGTGGTTGGTAGTTCTTGAAGAGGTGCTTCACATCTCTTGCAAGATGTATTCCTAGGTATTATATTCTCTTTGTAGCAATTGTGGATGGGAGTTCACTCATGACTTGGCTGTTTGTCTACTGTTGGTGTATAGGAGTGCTTGTGATTTTTGCACACTGATTTTGTATCCTGAGACTATGCTGAAGTTGCTTATTAGCTGAAGAAGTTTTTGGGTTGAGATGATAGAGTTTTCTAAATGTACAATTATGTCATCTGCAAACAGAGACAATTTCACTTCCTTTCTTGCTATTTGAATACCCTTTATTTCTTTCTCTTGCCTGAATGCCTTGGATAGAACTTCCAATACTATGTAGAATAGAGTGCTGAGAGAGGGCATCCTTGTCTTTTGCCTTTTTTCAAAGGGAAGACTTCCAGCTTTTGCCCATTCAGTATGATATTGGCTGTGGGTCTGTCATAAATAGCTCTTATTATGAGATATGTCCATCAATACCTAGTTTATTGAGAGTTTTTAGCATGAAGGGCTGTTGAATTTTGTTGAAGGCCTTTTCTGCATCTATTGAGATAATTATGTGGTTTTTGTCATTGGTTCTGTTTATATGATGGATTACATTTATCAATTTGCATATGTTGAACCAACCTTGCACCCAAGGGATTAAGCCGACTTGTTTGTGGTGGATAAGCTTTTTGATGTGCTGCTGATTTTGGTTTGCCAGTATTTTATTGAGGAATTTCACATCTGTGTTCATCAGGGACATTGGCCTGAAATTTTCTTTTTTGTTGTGTCTCTGCCAGGTTTTGGTATCAGGATGATGCTGGCCTCATAAAATGAGTTAGGGAAGAGTCCCTCTTTTTCTATATTTTGGAATAGTTTCAGAAGAAATGGTATCAGCTCCTCTTTGTATCTGGTAGAATTCAGCTGTGAATCTGTCTTTCCCTGGGCTTTTTTTGGTTGGTAGGCTATTAATTACTGC